>NC_000012.12:110944976-111096491 GCF_000001405.40 Homo sapiens | reverse complement strand
GGAAAATGGGTGTAAGTGATAAAAGCTCCTAAGATTCCATACGGGGAGCACCCAGCAAAGGGCCCCGCCTCCCACTCTGCTCTGTGGTGGCCATGGGGATGATAATTTGGGTAAACCCAACTGGCTTCTGGGAGAGCAAGAAAGGATGTGAGGGGTAGGGGATAGAACAGCCCGGGGCAGACAAAGAACCTCAGCCCAGGCAGGTAGGGAACTTGAGACCTCCAAGGTCTGATTTCCCCTCACCCCCACCGGAGGGCTCCATTTTGTACTCTCTAGGCTGTTGGCAAGAATGCGGACCAGACTCTGGTGATAACTGCTCTGAGCACCAGGCAGCTCTTGGTTCTCCCTGCTGATGGGGGGCTCGGTGGCACACTTAATCCTGGAACCATCACTCATCCACGAGCCACTTGTTGAGCCCCTGGCACTCTCTCTTGTCCCAGCATCACTGCTGACCCTGTCAGCCTCTGAGCCCTTGCTCGAGGAGGCTCGGACTTGCACAAGGGGACTCAGCTCCAGGGCCAGCTCACTGCTCCTGCACGGAGCAGATGCATGAGAGCAACCACCATGTGCAGGGACTCACTCCAGGCCCAGCATTTCCGGACCCTACATGGCACCCAGCATGCTCCTTCATTCTGGCTTTGAGACATTGAAAGGGTTGACAATGTCTGAAGCAGACAAAATGGAGGCTGTGAGTTTCGCTTATTTCATGGAGAGAAAAAGTAGTGATGGTAGTAACGGTAATATTGATCAATACAATTTTAATAAGAACAGCTATAACTCACACACTGAGTCCTTCACCTGCACCCTCTCATCTACCTCTCACTGCAGCCCTCAAGGAGGGGAGCACTGCTATGCTTACTTTACAAATGAGGAAACTGAGACTTAAAATGGTGAAGTCATTTCCCTCCTTACCTCATTAGACCAGGAAATAAAGACTCAGAGAAGGCAGACCACTTGCCTAAGAACACACAGTGGGTAACAGACAGGAATTTGATACCAAGAGTATCTAACCTTCATCCATTTTTTTTTCTTTGAGATAGGGTCTCACTCTCTTGCCCACACTGGAGTGCAGTGGTACAATCACAGCTCACTGCAGCCTCAACCTCCTGGGCTCAGGCAATCCTCCCACCTCAGCCTCCAGAATAGCTGGGACTACAGACGTGCGCCACCTCACCTGGCTAATTTTTGTATTTTTTGTAGAGATGGGGTTTTACCATGTTGCCCAGGCTGGCCTTGAACCCCTGAGCTCAAATTATCTACCTGCCTCTGTCTCCCAAAGTTCTAGGATTACAGGCATGAGCCACTGCGCCTGGCCACCCTCATGCTCTTAACCACAGCTGTTCCCACCCCAGGAAAACACATGGCTAGTCATTCAATAAACAGCATAAGAGATGCTATGGGGTATCTGGTGCTGGGCAGACTGAGGTGAAGTCCCTGGGTGCTTGCGGCTGACCCTCTAAATAGGAGGAGACAGACACTGAAGGCTGCATTACTCCCAAGGTGATGACAGCCAGGTAGGGGGCCAGGGGACAATTCTGTAACTAAGCCAGTCTACCTTCGTCCAGAGATCAAGAGAGCCTCCCTGGTTAAATAAGACAGCCTCCAGGCTGCACAAAACTTCCGGCACAATGAGCAAGACAGACATGCATTGAACAGTATCACATAAATCACTTCTATTGCTTAAAAGGTGGATGCACCAGCTGCAGTGGCTCATGCCTGTCATCTCAGCAGTTTGGGAGGCTGAGATGGAAAGATCACTTGAACCCAGAAGTAGGAGACCAGCCTGGGCAAACAGTGAGACCTCCATCTCCCCCCAGCCCAGAAAAATTAGCCAGACATGGTGGCACACGCCTGTAGTCCCAGATACTGGGGAGGTTGAGGTGGGAGGATGCCTTGAGCCTAAGGGGTTGAGTCTGCAGTGAGCTGGGACTGCACCACTGCTCTTAGCCTGGGCAACCGAGCAAGACCCTGTCTCAAAGAAAAAAGGTGGATGCTGCCAAAAGCTAGGTGCTGTTGCAACCGGGGCACAGGGGGAAGACACAGGTCTCTGACCCCAGTCCCCAAGCTCAGTTAACAGCAGAAGTTACTTACCTGGCAGGAAAACCAGGCTTCCAGCATGACCCTTGCCTCCCTCTGCCCGCTCCCGGTCCCCGTCCACTTCTCGGGCCCTTCCGCCACAATGAGGTGGCCAGGGCTGCTCACACCGGGCCCAGCCGCAGCCTGTTCCCCTCCTTCATGCGGCTCTTGGAGTGATCGATTCTGCCACGGGAATGGCCAGGATAATTTTTGCTTAGCTTCAAATACCTCGTTTTCAGGAATTCCTCTGCCAGAAGGTTATAAAGCTTCCTCTAAAATGTGGGGGAAAGATTAAGCCTGCTTATGGTTAATAATACACTGTCCCCTGTCCGTCAAATTGCCTGTCTGCTATTGAAAGTTCACTATTAGATACTTATTTAAACAGCCTCGCAAGGCTTCTGAAGAAAGTGCAGTTATGCATTTTTCCCCTCCTTGCTGGCGCGAACGACTATAGATAAACATCAATTGGCTCCTGCGGATCACAGTCACAGTAAATAAATTTTTCAGGAAGCTTGAGATCCGCACAAAGGCTCCGCCAAGCTCCCATTTCACACAACATCAATGTTTGGCCTCCAAGAAATAAAAGCTCTAAGGTGTCCATCGCCAGGGCAAAATTATCAATTGTCAAGTCACTTTTAAAAGAAAAAGAAGATAGAGGGTTTCAGGGAGCCATTTCATCCTGCAGCTTAAAATAAAAGGAAGAGCGACAGGCGCTTCACCCACAAACTAACCACTGGGACTTCCCCCTAAAAGCTCAGGTGTTCATCGCCCCCCCGTCAAATTTCTGGCCCCAGCCCTGCTGCCCTGGGTGAGCTGAAGCAGTCAGTTCAGCTTGGAGCTGCCGGTTCCAGCTGAGTTCAGTGACTTCAGTGACTCAGGCGTTGGGTTATTTTTACTTTCTCAAAGTGGGTTTTTTTTTTTCACTACTTTTAGAAGTGGCAGACGAGGCTTGTCTATTATAAAATATTTGTTGCAAACACGCACTTACTTGCTCACCGCCCCACACACAGTTCTCGTCTGTGTAAAAATCTCAAGTCGCCGTGGTGTGAGGGGCAGGAGATGCAAAAGCTAGGACACCCTCCTGGGCGAGCCAGAGTTTATGTAACAGCACAGTTCTACTGGAGTCGGGGTCATCTAAGCTGGGAACCTGAAACAGGTGTCATTTTCCAGATAGGGAAACTGAGGTACAGGGGAGCCAGAGGAAGTGAGACATAGAGGTGGATGTACCTGCATTTGCATCTCAGCTCCACTACGTTCCAACTGCATGGCCTTGGGCAGGAAACTTAAATCTGTTGGGCCTGGCCTGGTGCAGTGGCTCATGCTTGCAGTCCCAGCACTTTGGGAGGCCAAGGCAGGTGGATCTCTTGAGCCCAGGAATTCGAGACCAGCCTGGGCAATATGGCAAAAACTTGTCTCTACAAAAAATACAAAAATTAGCTGAGCTTGTTGGCATGTACCTGTGGTTCCAGCTACTCGGGAGGATGAGGTGGGGAGGATCATTTGAGCCTGGGAGGCAGAGGCTGTAGTAAGCCATGATCGGGCCACTGCACTCCAGCCTGGGCAACATAGTGAGAACTTTTCTTAAAAAAAAAAAAAAAAAAAAAAAAAAATCTGCCAGAGCTTTGGTTTCCTTATCAGGAAAATAAATATGGATTACTACAGCTGTCCCTTCCTCAGAGGGTCACTGCAAAGATTAGCCTCTGCCATTCCTATTTGCCAGCTTTATTATTAAAGGTCTTAGACCCTCCTAGCCAATCGCTGGCAGGACCAGGGCTGGATGTGAGAAAGGAACACTGTTCTTGGAGGCAGCAGATCCAGCCCTGATTCCAGGCCTGTCACTTTTGCTTACGGCTCCTCTCCCAGTCCCAGATTCTTTGTCCAAATGAGACCTTGGACTAGTCAGTGTCTAGCATTAAAACCCACAGTGATGTCTTCCCAACAGCCGCATTGGGAAGGTACTATTATTATGCCCAATTTACAGAGATGAAAATTGAGGGTCTGGGAAAGGCAAGCTGTGAGGAAAGGCCAATAGCCTAGACCTCAGCTCAGCCTGCTCAGAAGACTCTGCTCCTCCTGCCTGACCACACAGCCCCCTGTTTGCAGCCAAGACTTCAAGTCTCAGTGTTTCATTCAGAGACACATCTGGGACTAACAGCTGGAGCCCTTCTTCCTGCCTGCGGATGGGGGAGACATTCGCACACCCTCTCTCTTCTTCACCACAAAACTCCTAACAAAGGTCAGGGTGAAAAGGACACCCTTGCTCTCAACGTTTTCTAAAGATGCTGGTATTGGGTTGAATTGTGGTACCCTAAAATTCACATCATCTTGAACCTCAGAATGTGACCTTATTTGGAAATAAGATAAGGTCAGAAAGAAACTTAAATCTGTTAGAGCTTGGCTGGGTGCAGTGGCTCATGCCTGCAGTCCCAGCACTTTGGGAGGCCAAGGCGGGTGGATTTAATCAGTTATGTTAAGATGAGAGCATATCGGATTAGGGTGGGCCCTAAATCTAGCGACCCTTGTCCTTATAAGAAGAGACAGGTGCAAAGATAAGACAGTCATGTGGTGATGGAGGCAAGATCCTAGTGATGCGGCCACAAGCCAGGGAATACCAGGCAGGGCCGGCAGCCACCAGAAGCTGGGGGAGGTGAGGAAGGACCCTCCCCTGGAGTCTGGAGAGGGAGCACAGCCCTGCAGACACCTTGATCTTGGACTTCTGGCCTCCAGAACCACGAGAGGACAAACTTCTACTATTTTAAGTCCCCTTTAGTTGGTGGTAATTTGTTACAAGTGTCCTCAGAAAGGAACACAGCGTTCTTCTATAAAAAGTGCACAGAACCCCAGGTGACAATTATCTGGGCTTTGGGAAGGTTCCAGGCTGGGTGGGGTGAAAAACTGAAGTGGGCCCCATCAGTTGGGCAACTGGGATGAGGTGGCCCAATCCTGCACCCCTCGATGGCCTGATCTCTGTTCTTAGGGGTCTGTACAGGGAGGAGTGAACGCTGCCCGGTTGCACTTGACCTCCGCCAGCAGCAACCCCAGCTGTGTCTCCTCCGGGCCTTTGTGAAAAGGGCACGGCTGAGTCGGGAAATACACCCTGGCAGCTTTGGGGCTGCGGATCTGACTTCCCTCCGCAAACAGGAACAATGAGGCCAACCTCCTGGGGCCAAGTCCAAGACTGTCTTTTATCCAGTCCATGGTGCCCGCTCACCTGGCCCTGGCTGGAGTGGGAACACTGACTCCTTCAGCCACCTTTTGGGTGAGTCCAGTGAGTGACCCCTTACATGGATGTGCACACGGATGTGCAAACTGAGGCTGAGAGTGACTGAATTCCTGGCTCAAGGTCCCATGTAGTGAGGACACGGCGCAGCCGGGCACAGACTCACTCTGTCAGATTTCACTCCCCCGTGGCCTTAACCCAGAAGATCAAGGAGAAGCACACAGGGAGCCTCGGCACACAGTAGGTGCTCCATCAATGCTGGCTTGTGCTTGCTTAGAACCTGCTGTTTGGTGATGGCATTGTTTCTCAGTGCCTCTCCTGAGATGAGAAGGAGACCTCAAACTGGTTTTTACAATTAAAAAAAAAACAGAGAGAGTGAGAAGTAGCATCTCTGTTCAGCTGATGGGTTGGTGGCACATTTGAAAAACCACCGGACAAAATGATGGAGCTTGTATCTCTAACATGAGGGGCCTCTTGGTGAGGTTTGGGATTTTTTGCAGTTCACTGCAAGGTGTGGGCTCAGGGAGGATATCATTTGACCCTCACCCAGAAAAAGGATGCCGAGAGATGGGGAGGTGGAAATCACCTCTGTTTTACAGAGACCAAAGAATAGTGTAGTAAAGGGATCGCAGGCCGGGCGCAGTGGCTCACACCTGTAATCTCAACATTTTGGGAGGCTGAGGCAGGTGGATCACTTGAGGCCAGGAGGTTGAGATCAGCCTGGCCAACATGGTGAAACCCCATCTCTACTAAAAATACAAAAAATTAGCCAGGTGTGGTGGCGCCTGCCTGTAATCCCAGCTACTCAGGAGGCTGAGGCAGGAGAATCGCTTGAACCCAGGAGGCGGAGGTTGCAGTGAACCGAGATCATGCCACTGCACTCCAGAGCGAGAGACTCCATTTCAAAACAAAAAAGAGGTAAAGGGATTGCCCCTTTCGGGCCAGCCCAGAACCCAAGACAGAAACCTCGCTCACCTGAGATGCTCCCTCATCTGGCCCCACGGAGAGCTCTGTCAATTCAGCACTGACAAATGTCCCTAGCTGGTCACTCCTATCCAAGCCCATTCCCACAACTCTGCTCCAGGACCGGGGATCAGATCACTCATCAAGATGCTGCAGCTGCCTCCTCCCTGGCCTCCCTGCCTCCACTTGGAGCTCACCTCTGCTCCCCTCCACTGCACATGATGGCCAGAGGCACCTTCCTCACATTAAGCCCACCTGCATCACTCCTCTGCCCCAAAACCTCCATGGCTCCCATCACCCTCAAAATGTAGTCCAAACTCCTTATCTGCCCATGAGCCCCCTGAAAGGCCACCAGCCTGCTTTGTGATGTTTTAACTGAAGAGGAGACCTAGGGCCACAGTGACTAGGTTCTGCTTTTTGCCTGCTTAATGCTCAAGCATGAATGCTCTGGTTACAGTTCCCCAAAAGCACCTGCACTCTCTGACCTCTGAGCCTTTGTACTTGCTGTTCCCTCTCTCTGGAATGCCTTTCCCTCTACTTCCTCCCATTAACCTAGGAATGCCCAGCCATCTTTCAGCTCTCAGCTTCGATGCTGCCTCCTGCAGAGGGCTTTCCAGGCCCTCTGGATGGCCGCTGTTGCAACACATACTGCCCTGCTCAGAAAACCAACAGCCTAGCAGAACTTGGGTCCAGGAGAGCACTGTAGGGCCTGGAGGGGTAACATCAGGGTGGATAATTCAGGTGGAGGCTTTGCTCCTCTCAGCTCAGAGCCCTGGGCCTCAGAGCAGACAGACCAGGGTTCCAAATTACAGGCTTCAGATGCTGCTAGCATTTTTTGTCCCCTACAGTGTGTTATCAAACATATTTTCTATTTAATCCCCATTACTCCCCCCATTTCTCAGATGGGGAAACTGAGGCTTGAAGAGAAATCAGTTGCTTAAGGCCACAGTTTGGTGATCTACAGAGCCAAGACTCAATCCCAGCGCTGCTGGACTTGGCCTCCAGGGCCTGTGCCCTTGATCACTGTCACAGGGCAGAAGATGCTCTGAGAACAGGAACTGCACAGGACAAAGCAAACTGACCGTGATCATTACCACAGGATGCTGGAGCTAGGGAGAACTGCATCTCCACTTGGAATATCCTGCAGGTCCCTTCGCCCCGTGCCTCAGTCTCCTCACCTGTAAAATGTCATAATACCACCCAACACTGCACACCACCGCCCCTGGATAAGGCAAACCTAGTGGAGTGGGGAGGGGGTCGTAACTCCTGAGGGGTCAGCAGCTCACTCAGGAGCAGGCAGGTGGGAAACCCAAGATGACTCTCCACCGCCTCTCCCCACTGCAGAGCTGTCAGCCTCGTCAGACGGGGGTACCATGGCACCCAGCTGCCCGGTCGGACATCTCATGTCCATGCACGACAGGTGAGCTTCATAGCTCAGCTCATTGTCCAAACCTGAGGCGCTCAGAGTTGCACGTCTAGAGGAAAGAACTAAGGGCTCAGGGCCTGACACTCCCAGGTCTGCGTCCTGTCTCTACCATTTGCCAGCTGTCTGTCTTCAGACAAGTCCCTTAAGCTCTCTGAGCCTTTTCCTTCTCTGAAAAATGGTGACATCATCTCCATCTACTCCACAGGGCTCCTATGAAGACTAGAGTTAAAGCGTCACATCGTAGGGATTCAGTCCGCTGCTATGAAGACTCCAGTTAATGCGTCACATCGTAGGGATTCAGCCCGCTGCATTTTGAATAATTAATGCAGTGGTTTCAGTCCTTTACTTTTTTTTTTAATTGAACTTTTTATTTTGAGATAATTGCTGATTCACATGCAGAAAGAATACAGAGAGGCTGGGCGTGGTAGCTCCCATGCCTGCAATCCTAGTGCTTCGGGAGGCTGAGAAGGGAGGATTTCTTGAGGTCAGAAGTTTGGAAAAGAACACAGGGAGATCTCTTGCCCCCTTCACCCAATTTCCCCCAAGGGTCACATTTTACAACACTGACAGCAGGACCAGGATACTGACATTGACACAGTCAAGGTACAGAGCATTTCATCACCCCCAGGCCTTCGTGCTGCCCTTTGATAAGCACACATATTTTCCTCCCTGACCCCATTCCCACTCCATTCCCTGTTCCCCAACCTTGTCTTTTCGGGAATGCTAAGTAAGTGGAATCCTTCAGTAAGTAATCCCTTTTGAAATAGTCTTTTTTCCCTCAGCACGATTCCTTCAAGCTGTATCCACATCATTAGCTTATCAATAGTTCGTTCCTTTTCATTACTGAGTAGTGCTCCTCGGTGTGGGGGTGCCACAGTTGAACCACTGGCCTGGTGAAGGACATCTGGGGTGTTCCCACTTTTTGGCTACTCATGAATAAAGCTTCTGAGAACATTTGTGTGCAGGTTTTGGGGTAAACTTCAGTTTTCAGTTCCCTAGGATATAGTCCTTCATTTTTAAACCCATACAGGCATATAATTTCATTCATTCAACAGATATCCATCACACATCTACTATGTGCAGGGGCTGTTCTAGGCACTGAGGAGACAGCACACAAAGGCAGACAAAGCCTCTGTCCTCTTGGATGATACAAAACAAAATGACTGAACAAACAACTTATGGCTAAGTCGACTCTACAGCCACACACAGAAATGAAAAGCATTCTCTGATTAATGATCAAATTAGTAGCTGCTCCAGTGAGCCAGGTTAAGTGCAAAGCACTTGCGTGTGTTTTCTCAAGGAATAGTATTACCTGCTAGTAAAACATGCATTGCATCAAGATGAAGCCACCAGCTGGCAGGCTAGAAAACTCTGGTGACTTCTTCTTCATAGCATTTTCTTTCTTTTCTTTCTTTTTTTTTTTTTTTTTTTTTTTTTTTTGAGATGGAGTCCCACTCTGTGCCCAGACTGGAGTGCACTGGCACGATCTTGGCTCACTGCAACCTCCGCCTCCCAGGTTCAAGCAATTCTCCTGCCTCAGCCTTCCGAGTAGCTGGGATTACAGGTGCCCGCCACCACGCCCAGCTAATTTTTGTGTGTGTGTGTTTATTTTTGGTAGAGACAGGGTTTCACCATGTTGGCCAGGCTGGTCATGAACTCCTGACCTCAATCCGCCTGCCTCGGCCTCCCAGAGTGCTGGGCTTGCAGGTGTGAGCCACTGTGCCCGGCCCACAGCATTTTCTTTAGTAAGTCCCTTGTTACGGTAGAATAACTTACTATGTCCATTCCTATTTCATAGGCTATAAAAAGTATGTCACTTGACAGCTCGAATAGCAATGGGTAACATTTCTTGAGTGCCATGTTTGGCACCATTCTCAGATTTTTACACATATCATCACTTTTTTTAGTGATGGGGTCTCGCTATGTTGCACAGGGTAGCCTCAAACTCCTAGGCTCGAGTGATCCTCTTGCCTCAGCCTCCCAAGTAGCTGGGACTACAGGAATGCACCACTGCACCCAGCTGTGCCTCATCACTTTTAATCCTCATAAACCAAAAACCATTCCCTGAGATAACTGCTCCATCAGCCCCATTTTAAAGAAGAGGAAACTGAGGTTCCAAGATGCTAAACAAGTGGCCAAAGGGCATATGGCTGGGAAGGGCAGAGCCAGGATTTAAACCCTCGGAGACAGAGTCAATTTGATGTCCTAAAAGAGGAGCCTTCTTCCTCTCCCTGTCTGCACCCAGCTCTGTGATGTTAAGTGTCTTTCTCTCCCAGGCACTGCACACTTCACTAAAGGCCCTGGATAGCAATTGTTTCTAAGATAAATTGGACAGTTCCTCATTAACTATGAAAGGCCTAAATGCTGATCACCTCAATCATTATGTTCTAAGCTCTCATCATTAGAAAAAGAAATAATCAGGTCAGCCAAACCTGATTCTTTTGATGAAAATGTTTCCTTCTTTGATGCACCCCAGGCTACACAGTTCCAGTTGCCTGTGAACTAAGTACTTTCTCCATCAGTGACACAATCTTCATCTTAAGTTCTGAACTCACATCCATTGCTCTGTGATACTACCATGATATAATAGAAATATTTAACCACTGAAGTGGCCAATGTCTTTAGCAGGAGCAGAGAGAATGCTCTTTCTCACTGACAGGTTGGTAGCTGGTGGGGGTAATTACTATGACCATCATCAGAGTGGCCTCAATCTGCCACTGTGTTGCTTCAAAGTTAACTAGAAGGGACCTAGGAATTATGCTCCTGGATCAGGCCTGGCACAAGGTAGGAGCCTCTAGCTTCTCCATCAGCTACATCTGCTCCTGATCCCTGATCTCACACCATTCAGGGCATTTCCCAAACCAATAATAAGTGCAGAAAAGTCTCTCCACCAGCATTCACTGATGTGACAATAATGCTTCAAGCATCTGCCCTGTGTAAGCCCTTGCTGGAAGGTGGGGAGATGGCAGGGGACGAGATCTTTCTGAACTTACAGTCCAATGAGGGAGACAGATTCCAAACTCAAAGAAACAACCCAATACCCAATTACAACTGGAAACAAATGCTGGGAAGGGAACCAAGTAGTGCTGATATAAGAATAAAGGCGAAAGATGTGCTGTGGCAAAAATGGTCCCGGAACACTTCTCTAGGGGAGACAGGAACCAAAGGAATCAGCCAGGGGAAGAGCATTCTGGGCAGAGGTACAGCATGCACAAAGTTCTGGAGGCACAAGTAAACTGATTAGAGGATTTCAGAGACCAAAAGTATTTACAGAATTCCTTTGGCCTTATCTCCTTCCATTCTCCCCTTCATTCACTCATCCCATCCCCACTGGCTTCCAGGATGTTCCTCAACCCTTCTGAACACATTCCCACATCAGGGAATGCCTGGAACACCCTTCCCAACCCTCCCCCAGATCTCCGCATGACCTGCTCAGATGCATGCTGGTAAATGGTTAACAATGGGCTCTCTAAGGAGTAAGCCCTGATTTGTGGCATCTGCCAATTTCCATGGGGTAAATTCTTCCACCTTGGCTGATGTTAAGCTGCCCATGGAATGTCACTGAATGAAAGGCTGGGAAGAGACACACACAGTCAGCTCTCAGGAGCTGGTATGAGCCAACTCCAGCACACCACAGCACCTCCATCCCCATCCTCTATCCTACTTTCCTTTCCTTCACCATTTTTATCATCATGATGTTCATTTATTTTTTTTTCTTTGCCACCTGTCTCCCCAGACTAGAAGGTCAGCTCCACGGAGGCAGGGAGTGTTGCCTGCTCTGTCACAGTGTGTGGAACAATGCCTGGCACATAGTAGATGCTCAATGAATACCAAGAGAATAAAAGAATGATGAGAAGGTCCATGTGGCTTCACTGTGGTGAGAAGAGGAAGAATGGGAGAAGAGGGGGTGAGGTCCCTCCAATCCCCTGCACCCCGCAGCAGCCTCTCCAGAAGGTGGGCACCCCGGAGCCCGAGTGAGAGCAGGTACAGCGGGCTGTCTACCAGCCCGCCCGCCACGTGGCCCCTCATTATACAGCGCCGTCGCTGCCGCAAAGCTTTCACAGCCACTCTCATACCATTTTGCTTTTAAAATAGAAGTTTCCTGTGAACCTGCAAATAATTCATCGCTGTGAGTCCTTAAAACGTTCACAGGTATTTAAAATGCTATATAATCAAGTTCGCAGAAATATAAAGTGTAAGCGTTAAAATACTTTAATGTTCTAATTAAAACAGGCCACTTATGCCCCAGCCCTGACTCCTGTTTACTATTTCCGTAATAGCCAGTGGCTTGTTCTAGGGAAAAAAAAAAAAAAGATTCTGTTTAAATTGGCCTTGAAAAAACAAAGAAGAAAAAAAGAGGAAAAAGTTAAAGTTTGCTTTCTCCAGCGGTGCACTGAGGAACTGAAAATCACACTTTCTAAATATTCACAGGTTGTCAACTGCTAAAGCAGGGGACAGGGGACATCTGGGGTCCCTCCACCTGCTCCCCTAGAAACAGATGGTACTTGGGCAGGAATGGGAGGAAAGGGCGGGGGCTGAAATCCTTTATGTCTCAGGGCTCAGAGAATGCCCACCAGCCCAGGCACCACTAACCACTCCACTCCTGCTGATTCAGTCTTCACCGCTGTAGACCAGGAGGAAAATCATATTTATTTGTAAGGAGTAAGACAAGTCAGGGCTCTATCTGCCTCTGGTCTCTGACAAGCACAGCGTGATGCCTCTGCATATGCTGTTCCCTCACACTTCCCCATGTACACTTCTACTCATCCTTCCGTCCTCAGCTCCAGCATTCACCTCCTCAGGGAAGCCCTCCCTGACTACTCCCACCCTGGTACTCGAGGAGATGGCCCTGCTCTCTACTCTCACTGCCCTTTGTGCCAAGGGCTGGCTTGTTGTTCTTCCCCCATCAAAGTAACCTTGAACAAGCACGTTCTCTGGGCCAAAGGCGGGCTGCCCTGTGGATGGCAGCCCCTGACTGGTTGCCTGGCCTTTTCTCCCAATCTCCCTGCCAGCCCCAAGGTTCACGACTACAAACTCCCGTGCTTCCCTCTTGGAGCTCTCAGTGCCAGCTGTCATCTTCTATTACCTGTGAGTTTGCTCGGTGGGCGTCCCCTCCACTGGGCTGTATTCTCCATGGAATCCGAGACACAGCAGGTTCTCACTAAACTGCACAGGAAGCAGCCTCTTAACTCCCTCCTAAACCTCAGTCCTCTTTTGCCTAAGTGACTTATATCTGGCTCATTCATTCACTCAGCAACACCCACCCCATTACCACAGACCCACTTTATGTTAAGCCCTGGATGGCACCCCAAGATGCATTGACTCTGGGGTCCTCAAGCTCCACTCACCCCAAAGGACTCCTCTTCCCTTCCCATCTGTCCTTGGTCCCATAGACCCATCAGGCCCTAGACCTTGGACCCCGGCCCCAGGCTCCAACATCTGTCTCCTTCGTGGTCTCCTTGGCCTGCTGATCCCTGGCCTTTTAATCCTTTCTCTGGAAGGCCTCTCACACCCATGCCCTCTTTCCCCTGCCCTGCCCCAGTTCTGGGTGACCTCAATGGTCACCTGCTTGGTGGCTGCTCTCTGGCTGGTCACCCTGCTCATCTCTCTCCTAAGGTGGTACCGTGGTTCTTGGCTGAGGTCGCTCGTGACCCCCAATGGACAGTCAGCAGTATCTGGAGACATTTTTGGTTGGTACAACTTAGCAGGGGAGGCAACTGCCACTTAGAAGGGAGTGGCCAGTAAGGCTGCTAAGCACCCTAAAAGGCACAGGGCAGCCCCTACCATGAAACGGCCACAAATGTCAACAGTGTGGAGTCGAGAAACTGTGATAGAAGACTCTTTCCAGCACAGCTCAGAACACCTCCTCCTCCTGCTCAAATGTCCTCCATGGCTCCCCATGGCCCACCAAGCTACCCAGCAACCCCTCTTCACGACACCCATGGTCCTGCAATCTCCCAGCCTAACTTCCACATTGCCCACCCTTCCCAGACAAGCCAAACCAGTCTGCTCAGGGCCCCCAGGGTGTGGCCATGCCTTCCCCTCTGAGCTTTTGCTCATGCTCTGCTCTGGGGCACCTGCCTCCTCCACCTCCCGGCGAGTCTTCCACGTTTCAGGGAAGTTTCATGGGAAGCTTCTGTTTGGGAGGGGAAGTTTCTGTCTGGTTTCAAAGCTGTGTCCTCTCTCCCAGCTCCCTGGCTGGTCTAACCACTCTCTTTCCTCTGTCCCTACACCCTGGGCTTTAACATCCCAGGGGCGACCTGCCACTCCAGTCCGACCTGGGTCCCTGCTGTTTTTTGATTTTCTCAGACATTTTCGGACACTTGCCCAGCACGGTCCTTGGCACACCGTAGGCATTCAAGAGGTGTGAAATTAATTCAAATCCCTCTTCCCACTAAAGTGGCAAATTCAGAAAACTCCTGGAATCAAACCAATTCAGGCCACCAGCCTTTTATTTGGACTGACTCTAATTCCTTTACAAATATCATATTCCTTCCAATATATTGTGATTTTCCACTTTCTCCCTTCTCTCTCTCTCCCGCTCATCTCTGCTGGATGAAGAAGCCTGAATTGCTCTGTCCACAACATGAGCAGATACAACACAGAGATGCCTCAAAACACCTGCTGTCCCCACACAGACATCCCCAACCTTCCCAGGGACATTCCTGTCCTTTTGTAGAAGGTTGATTTAAAACGGCAAAATGATACATTCTCTATGCTGAAAACCTAAAATCCTCCTTAAGAAAGCCAAACACGAAAATTGCCTATAATCTCCACCACCCCAAGGAAGAGCAAAACAGGCATCTGTGTCATTCCTCTCAGGGTGAGGGAGCCGGGGCATTTATATGCCAACTCCTGAGGCTGGAGGGCTGCACCTGGGGGGTTACGGCCTCAATACTTCTGGCCTGCCCTCTCTCAGGCAAAGTGGTCTTACAGTTTTGGAAAAAAAACAGAGATGCAGTCACCAGCAGGCGGAAGCTCGTGGAAGACACTAAAAAGTCCAAGGGGAACAGAACAGCACCTGCTTATCTTCTGCCCTATCTCAGGCTACACAGTGGACAGTGGCTGGTCACCACCACAGCACCAATTCCCGCTGCATCCAGAAATCACTCCTTATTCTCTTTGGGGTCCCCTCCTCACCTCATCCTAACTTCTCCCAATTGTCACCAACATCTGTCATGCTTTATGGCCAGTCAGAATCAGAATCTCCTTCCTATAGGTGGAGAAGCCCCTCCTTACATGAGTCTTGGTGGGGGCTGAGTCGGTTTCTGTTGTTTGCAATTAAGAGTCCTGGGTGAGGTTCTTCCCTGACTCTAGGGGTGAGACTAGATCTCATTCCCCTGGTCAGAGGAGGCTCTGCTTTCTTAATTTACAGAAACTACACCACATGTGCTGCTTGGCAGTGGCTTTCATCCATAGAGCAATGTGCTAGGGATGTTTCCCTAGGACAATAAATATCCACTGGTCTTCCCCTCCCAAACAGAAACTTCCCATACTTAAAAAGACAATAAAAACAAAATAAAATGAACTTTATCTAGAAGAATTTGAGACACCGCTCGAGAAAGCTGGACTCCCAGAGGGGTGTTTGTAAACCTCAGCTGGACACTCTGGGTGGACAACAGTAGGGGGCAAACAAAAAGATCAATCCTCCCACCACTGCAGCAGTCAATCGGAAACGGTGACAGCATGGTGAGGGCTGAGGCCTGGGTCCTGGACACAAACTCCACTCTCCAGAAACACTCCCACTACTGGCCCTTATTATTCATTGTACCGACAGCTATAAGAGCTCCTATGTATTGAATAATTTTAGGAGCCGACAGTTACAGCACTGACTTCACAATAACTCTATCATAGCTATTATCAGCAGCGTCTCCACTTTATAGATGAGGAAACTGAGGCTCAAGAAAGCTTAATAGCAGTAATATCAGTAATAATAACAATAACTTATATTTGTTGAGTGCTTATTATATACCAGGAAGTGCCTATATTATATTGACTTATTTCACTCATTCCTTCAACAGATACTTACTGAGCACCTACTCTGTGCCAAGTGCCATTTTAGGTGCTAGGAAGACAGTAGTAAGCAAAACACACAAAAATCCTTGCCCTTCTAGAGCTGACATTTTATTTTTTGAGTGCCAGGGTCTCACTCTGTCACCCAGGTTGGAGTGCAGTGGTACGATCACTGCAGCCCCAGACTCCTGCACTCAAGTGATCCTCCTGCCTCAGTCTCTTGAGTAGCTAGGACTATGAGTGCATAGCACCATGCCTGGCTATTTTTTTTTTTTTTAGAGAGACAGAGAGATGGGGTCTTGCTGCATTGCCCAGGCTGGTCTCAAACTCCTTGCCTCAAGCAATCCTCCCATCTCGGCTTCCCAAAGTGCTGAGATTACAGGCGTGAGCCACCACTCCTGGCCCTAGAGCTGACATTTTAATGGGAGAAATCAGCAAACAAGGTAAATGGGTGAAATATAAATGTTCAATCATGTTAAGTGCTAAGGAAGAAAGAAAATACAGCAGGGGAGGGAAGTGAGGGCTGCGTGTGTAGGTGTGTGTGTGTGTTACGGGATTTTAGTCAGGGTGGCTGGAGAAGCCTGTGAAGGTAACTTCTGAAAGACCACCAGACAGAGCAAAGGAGCAGGGCAGGCTGCCGTGGGCAGAGGGAACAGCCAGTGCAAAGGCCCTGAGGTGAGAAAGTGCTCAGTCCGTTCAAGAAACAAGAAGGCCAGATATTATCATCATCCCCGTTTTACAGATGAGAAATTGAGGCCCAGAGAACAGAAGTGACTTGATCAAGGTCACACAGCAAGCAAGTGGGCATGACAGGACTAGAACCCAGGACTTCTGACATTAGACCAGAGGGTATTTTTCCACTGCCATCTCTTGGTGAGCAATTCCTGTGTGCTGCGCCTGGATTAAGATGATTGTGGGCACCTGCTTGTCACCAGGGAGAGCTGTGAAGTGAGGCGTCCTCCCACCCAGTCCCAAACCCACACTTGGAACATCCCATGTGGACACCCACACAAACTGACCTGGACACACATGCACACAGGTGTACGCACAGGCTGTTCTGCCCTGGACAAAGCAGGTGGGAGAACAGTGCCGCTGAGGGATGTGCAAAGATTAAGCTAATAAATAAAGCTGCCCAATCAATGATTCTTAGAGCAGAGCATGGGGGAATGAGAAATCACTACTCGTGCCAGGAAAAATCTTGCTCTTCTAGGTCTCACTAAGTCTACAAACTTAACCAACAGCAACGAGGAAGACAAGCCGAAAACACAGCAGGGAAGGGAAGCCAGGGAGGGGTCAGGGCCTGGGAAGGGGCTTGAGCGACCAGGTAGGGCTGTGTGACTGCAGGCAAGCGACTGCCCCTGCCTGAGCCTCATCTGTAAAATGGGGCAGCAAAACCAGTCCTCGTTCAGAAGGCCACCACAGGTCCATGCTGCTGTGTGTCGCAGATGATGTGGACAATTTTGACTAGATAATACTCACCTATAGCATAAACTCAGAGGCTACCAGAGGAGAAAGTAAATCCCCCACCCACCCCAAGAATCCCTTTCCAGGGGCAACCACTTTTGGTAGTTTCTTCTTTCCAGAAGGAAAGTCTTAGACCAAAAATTATTCTAACCTGCTTGTACGTGTGAATGACAATTTGTCTGAGGCCACCAGTTTGTAAAAGGCAGTGAGATGGGAAGCTCCCACATCTATCTGATCTTAGAGCCCAAGTTTGCAAGCTCTGGGCCACCAGGTCCCAGCTCTTCCCAGTCCATAGACAGCTAATGTTCTGCTGCAAGTAGTTCCTCAGCCCCCATGGGACCAGGCCAGGATAGGCTTGGGGCTATAGGCCTCATTAGGCTAGGCTGGGACCCCAGGTGTTCCCACGCACGACTCCTTTTCCTCAGCCACCTGGCCCCTGACCAGAATGATCGAACCCATCCGCTTCCCCCAGTTAAGCCACCATCATCACTCACCAGATGGCTACAGTAGACCCCTCAGGGGTCTCCCAGCCCACCTGCCTCTGAGTGACCTTTTCCATCACCAAACTCAAACAAGCCACCCCCCTGTTCAAAACCTGTCCGTGGATCCCCATTGCACTGTATAGAAAACCCAAACTCCTTCGCTGACTTTTTATTTTTAGAGACAGGATCTTTCTCGGTCGCCCAGGCTGGAGTGTAGTGGCACGATCATAGCTCGCTGCAGCCTCAAATTCCCAGGCTCAAGTGATCCTCCCGCCTCAGCCTCCTGAGTAGCTGGGACCACAAGTGCATGCCACCACATCCAACTAATTTATTAAATTTTTGTGTAGAGATGGGGGTCTCACTATGTTGGACAGGCTGGTCTTGAACTCCTGACTTCAAGTGAGCCTCCTGCCTCAGCCTCCCAAAGTTCTGGGATTATAGGCATAAGCTGCTGCACCTGGCCCCCAACACCTGAAATGAGATGCTCTTGTTCCTTTCTCTGGTAACTTCCTCTCTGCTTCCTCCCAATGCTCAGCATGCCTTAGTGATTGAACACTTTGTCCTTTCTTTCCTGCCTGGCTCCTCCCACCAGAATGGAAACTCTACAAGGGCAGAAGCCTTGTCTCTCTCAATGTCGGCTCATCCCCGATGCCTAGTCTGGTGCCGGGCACAGTGTGGGCTCAACTGGTTGTTGAATGAATAAACACAATGACCAGAAGCAACACCCCACTGCTCCACAATTAGCCACCTACAAATTCAATGTACTCATTTGCTGATTTCTATATCATTGTTTTGAAAATCTCCAAGGACAGGGACAGAAACCCCAGGTACCCCCAGAGCTGAGATGCCTTTGCCACCCCTGGGTACCACCTGGACTCCCTTTGTTTCCTCTCTTCTTTCTTGCTGTTACATTAAGCAAAAATTTCTTCATTGACAAATAAATGCTTTTCCCATCAATAACCACAGAAGACTAAATCAAACCTTTAGCTGCTGTTCTTATCTCTTAAACAGACCCATGGATTTCCCAACTAATCAGAAGATGAATCAAATGCTGCCATTTGAGGTGGGAGATAATCTGGTCAATTTCTTCCAGGAGGAGGGATCTGGGTGGGAATTTGCGTATGGCCCCCAAAAAACAAACACTCTTGTAAATAAAGCTGGCCTCCATCCTGTCTCCACAATGCAACGCTTATTGAGTGAGTCAGGTGTTTGGCTGATTAAAAATTGATCCATTTCAAAATCTAATCAACAGAATAGGATTCTTTCATACGTTATCAAGAGAGCTGCTGACATCGAAAACCAAACCTGTTATTAACCCATGAACTCCAGTGACCTGCTCCTCGCCGCTCCGAGGGACCGTAAATTATTCAGTGGTCCAAGACCGGGGCTGGTGAGCCTGATGGATTTAGGCCATCAGTCCAGGGGGGCAGAAGTCCAGGGGGTTCAGGTCGATGGCATGGCCGCGCCAGTCCCCAGAGGCTAGGGTTCAAGACACTCGGGGTCTGGGAGTCATGTCTGTGAATACATTACCCACGTCTTCCCGGGCCCTGCCACACGGCTGCGCGTTTCAAGGAAAGGCCTCTTTCAACTCCCCAAGCAGGGCAGGCAGAGGCCAGCTTGGGCCTCGGGGGCGCTGCGGGGTTTGGGAGCACTATTTGGAATTCCCAAGTTAATAAATTATTTCCCTTGAACTACAGCAAAGGAAAAAATAAATAGTCAAGGGGGGCAGAGATGTATTCTGCAAACAGTTAGGAACAGGCAATACAATCAGTTCAAATATTTTACCTCCTCGTGCAAGGAATAGCTCTGTTGCAATGGGACTGTTTAAAAGAGGAGATGAAAAGAGCCATCCTTTGGCCGTTTATGTGTCCAGCAGGGCCCCGAGGGGCGACGGGTTTTCTCACCAACTTCTCGACTCTTTGACCTTGAATTAAAGCCTCGTTAAGAGTCATATCTTATAAAAACAGGAGCAGAGTAAATAAAGGATTTTTTTTTAAGGACACACATATACCCATGCCAAAGTTTCCATTCTGCTAAGCAAGCAAGAAATCCAATGCAGCAAAGGCTGCACTTGGCATTATTTTGGGGCCCGTAGTCAACGGCTGACCTGATTAGAAAGGAGGACTTGGGAGGGGAAAATATAAGACTCTCGAGCAGGGCTGGAAACAGACTGGAACCTGGGAGGAGGCTAGCCCGTCTGCTGAGTGATGGAGAGAAGGGTGAGTTGTATCTATGCTCTGAGCTACTGAGAGACCCCAGAAGAGCACAGAAGCTCCCACTGGCTCCTTGGAGCAGCTGCTGGGAGGACCAGCAAGGAGGCTCTGTGAGCTGTGTAGCCAACAGAATTCAAATCCCGGCTCTGCCACTTCCTGGCTGTGTGAGCTTTGGCAAGTGAGTCTCCCAGCCTCAGTTTCCTCATCCATCAAATGGGAACAAGAATGCAGCTATGGATTTGAAGTTCTCTAGGTCATCTCTACATGGTAGGAGGCACATGGGAATTATTCAACTGCTCAAAAATGGCATCTGTTGTTTCCATTGTTAATATTGCTATTATATGCCAGGTGTTTTGTTTTGCTCCTTAGATCAGTTCTGGATAAAGTCAGTGGTGGTGGATTAGCATCCTCCTCAACTGCACATCCCAGCCTGAGGACCTGATCTTTATAAAAATGATGATGCTGACTTGCCTCTCCAGTGCACAAGGCTTTAGTGGGAACTTCAGAAAGTATCCACATGATGTGTGGTTAAGCTTGAAAGCCAAAGTCCTGAGTTCAAATTCTAGCTTTGCCACTGACTAGCTGTGTGACTTCAAGAATGTGAATTCACCTCTCTGAACCTTAGTTTTCTCACCTTTATAATGGGAAGACAATAGTACCAACCTCATAGGGTTCACTTAGCACAGTTCCCGGCCACCTGCTAAGCCCTTACTGAAGGCTGGTTATTATCATCATCATTATTATTCAGACTCAGTTTCCCACTTGGTCTGATGGAGACTATTTTGCTCATTTCCTAGGCAGAGTGGAACCTGGCAGGGGCCTCTTGCTGAGTGACCCTGGGCAAATCACTCGGACACCCTGGGCCTTGGATTCCTCCCCAGTAAGGACAAATAATGAGACTTATAAGCTCCATCTGGCTTGGTCATGACCTGATTCCCTCAGCCTAGAATAATGCCAGGCCTACAATAAGCGCCCAAATAAGTAAAAAGACAGCATGACACACAAATATATTTGTCAACTGAGCTCTCCCCAAAAAACAACAGCAGCAAATGGACATGGAAGGTGAGCAGCTCCCTCTCCGCATCCGAACGCTGCCCCCAAACCCTGATCATCCCCTCTACCCATTGCCGGGGAAGGCACCCAGCTTATCCCATCGCAAACAGCCTAGACGCTTTGACTCCACCCCAGAGAACATCCAGGAGACCAGAGAGAGGCCAACTCCCTGTCCAACAAACTCTTACGGACCACCAGGAATCCTCCCTTAAATAATAAATTTATAAGTCTGAAGCCCCTCTGACCTCTCCTCAAAGCAAAATCATCCTCCAAAGGCCCCTCGACCTGATCCTATTGATCCTGTCTGAGCTGTAATTTTGCGGTGGCTCTGCGCAGACAGGGTCGGCCCGCCTAGTTGGCTGCGGTCTGACGGCTCCAGGGGTGCCTGGCAGCAGCTGGGATGGAACAGAAATCAGATCTGCCCTCCAGAGCCAGGGAGAGCGGCTGCTCCTGTGAGCAGGGCTCAGGGTGCGGCTGGGTGGTGGGGGGTGGGGGTGGTGGCTGTCTCCTCCATCCTCTGCAGCCCTCAGGTGTGACTCGGCCAGGCCTGGTCCAGAGAAGGCCTGTGGGGGACTGGATGAATGAACCCAGAATCCCTAAGGCTCTGAACAGGCAGGGGCAGAGCAAGGGAGACAGTTCTGGGGGACCAGGTCTGGGCAAACCTTACCTGGCTAGATGGTGGGGTCTCGAGAGGCTCAGGCCTGGGCCCGAGGGGCACGGTGTCCCCAACAGTGGTGGCCAGACCTGGCCGGTACCACGAGCTAAGACAGGTTCCTAGGTCCAGCCAGGTCCTCCCAGCTGCTGGGCCCTGCCGCCGTCTGCTGTTTACCCGCTGCCTGTTTTCCTCATGACAGGCCTTCCAAGAACTGCAGCCAGAAATCAATGCAGTTGGTTCTGGTGCCCACAACCCCCCACTTCCCTCCTGCTGCCAAAGTTCAGCTGCTGCTTCCTGTGAAGTCAGGGCAGGCTCTGGGCTGAGCTGAGGGGCAGCTCAAGGTAGGGGCACCCCCTCAGCCCCCTGTCCAAGCTGAAGGCCACAGGCAGAGGGGTCCCAGGCAAGGTTGGGCAAAGACAAGCCTCTATCTTCACTCACAGCAGAGAGCTGACCCAGCTGATCAGGCAGGGAACAGCTAGAATGTTTCCCTGCCCCATCTTCCACTTTAGCGAAATAGGCGGGTGGCCCTCACAATTTACTCTACTCAGGTGTTTACCCTACGTCTTTGGCTCTGAATCACCTGGGGACTTAGTTACAGATTCAGTCTCAACCAAATTTGCAATCTGTTTCGAGAGACCTGGGGTGGGGCGAGATGCTGGGCTTTAACAAGCCCCCAGGTGATTCAAATGAGAAGCCTCGACTGGGAAACATGGTTTGTATGCAAAGATTCAGCTTCCAGGATGTTATTCACTGCAGTGTTCAGAAGACAGAAGAAATGGAATTAAGCCGATTGCTGGATAAAATACAGGACACCCAGACACATTTCATTTCAGATAAACAATGACACATTTCATTTCAGATAAACAATGTATGATTTTTTTTTTTAGTATAAGTATATCCCAAACATTGCATGGGATATACTTATACTGAAAATCATTCACTGTTTATCTAAAATTCAATTGTTTTTCTCTGAGATGAGGTATCCCTCTGTCCCCCAGGCTGGAGTGCAGTGGTGTGATCATCGCTCACTGCAGCCTTGAACTCCTCAAGACATTCTCCTGCCTCAGCCTCCGGAGTAGCTAGAACTACAGGCGCTTGCCACCATACCCAGCTAATTTTTAAATTTTCTCATAGAGACAGGGTCTCCCTGTGTTGCCCAGGCTGGTTTCAAATTCCTGGCTCCAAGTGATCCTCCTGCTTTGGCGTCCCAAAGCATTGGGATTATAGGCATAAGCCACCATGACCAGCCCCCGGAGACATTTTTCATTGTTACAATTTGGGAGATGCTATCGCACTGAGTAGATAGAGGCCAGAGATGCTGCTAAGCATCCTACAACGCACAGAGCAGCACCCACAACAAAGAATTCTCTGGCCCCAAACATCAATGGTGTCAAGACTGAGAAACCCTTATTTATACCCAAGAAAACTGTGTGCCCCTGTGCACTAAAAGACAGTAATGAACAAATGTTCCTAACAGCACTGTTTGTAGGAGCCCCCAACTGAAGCCACTCAAATGTACCTTAACAGGGGAATGGATGAAAAATTGTGGTGTAGTCACAAAAGAGAATGCTACACAGCAATGACAACAAACTGTAATGCCGCACAACACAGGTGAATCTTGAGAACATAATGTTGGTAAAAGAAACCAGACACAGAAGAGCACAGGCTGGTTGATTCCAAACAAGACTAATCTGTGCTGTAAGAAGTGGGCACAGGGTTCACCCTGGGGGGTGGGTGGTTGGTAGTGACTGGAAGGGATACGAAGGAGCCTCTAAGAGGGCCAGGGATTTTCTAGTTCTTAATTTGAGTGGAAATTCCATGAGTATGTTCAGTTTGTGACAGTTGAGCTGAACCTATAGGATCTGTGCCTTTTTCTGTCTGTGACATGTCAACAAAAGATCTAAAGAAACCGTGACAAAAATTTATCTCTTAAGTGGACCATTTTTATTTTCTTCTTTTTGCTTATCTGTTCTTTCTATAATGGCCACATTGAATATATTTTACTTTTCAAAAGAATGAGTAGGATAACAGCAAATGTGTTTCTTCATTCATCAAAAATTTGCTCACTTCTGCAATGTGTGTGCCCCCCAGCAGAGGACACTGAAGTTGGGGTTGGGGGAGGGGTCCCTGCCCTCAAAGGGCTCCCTGCCTTGATGGGGCTGGGAAGAGGACATAAATAGAACCAGAGACTGTAAACAAGCAGGCCCAAGGGCCACAGTCAGCCAGTAATCAGGTATTTTATCCATCCAGCCCAGTATTTTAATCAATTTTATTTCCCTGGGGCAGGGCCAGGTCTCCCCAGTTGCCTAGCACCCCATACCCCCAACAAACTTCCTCCTACTTTACTCAGAGCCTGATCCACCATTCATGTTACTTGCCTGTCCCTAAGCTCATGGGAGTTTGCCATTCCTTGAGGTAGATATTGCAATCAGCACTGTATTGTGATGGAGAGATGGACAAAGGGTTACAAACACAGAGGGAACTGCATGGGGGCAGGGAGGCCCACAGGGTGTGGGAACCTGCTCTTGACAGGAACACAAACACATGTAGACTAAATACTATATATAAATAAAGCAAGGCTAAATGTAACAAACTATGTGCAAGATCTATATGAGTAAAACTACAAAACTCTGACGAATAAAATCACAGAATAACTAAATAGATGGGGAGATAGTCCATGTTCATGGATAGGAAGACTCAATATTGTCAAGTTGTCAGTTCTTCCCAACTTGATCTATAGACTCAGTGCAATCCCAGTTAAAATCCCAGCCAGCTATTTTTGTGGGTAGTGACAAACTGATTCTACAGTTTATATGGAGAGGCAAAAGACCCAGAATAGCCAACATAATATGAAAGAGAAGGACAAAGTCAAGGACTGACACTACTGAACTTCAAGACTTACTATAAAGCTACAGTAATGAAGACAGTGTGGTATTGGAGAAAGAATAGACAAATAGATCGATAGAACAGGACAGAGAGCCCAGAAATAGACCCACATAAATATAGTTAACTGATCTTTGACAAGGGAGCAAAGGCAATAAAATGGAGAAGAGATATTTGTCTTTTCA
Organism: Homo sapiens; assembly: GCF_000001405.40. Taxonomy (NCBI): domain Eukaryota; kingdom Metazoa; phylum Chordata; class Mammalia; order Primates; family Hominidae; genus Homo; species Homo sapiens. The sequence continues at coordinate 111,071,858 of NC_000012.12, read as the reverse complement.
ACAAATGGTGCTGGAACAACTGGACAGCCACATGCCAAAAATAAAAAATAAAAATCAATAGAGACACAGACCTTACACTCTTCACAAAAATTAACTCAAAATGGATCATGGACCTAAATGTAAAATGCAAAACTATAAAACTCCCAGAAGATAACATAGGAAAATCTGGATGACCTTGGGTTTGGTGTTGACTTTTTAGATACAACACCAAAAGCAAATAAATTCTTGATAAGCCAGACTTCATTAAAATTAAAAACTTCTGCTCCTGGAAAGGGAGTATTAACAGAATGAGAAAACAAGCCACAGACTGGGAGAAAATATTTGCCAAAGACACATCTGATACAGGACTTTTATACAAAGAACTCCTAAAACTTGACAATAAGAAAATAGCCTGTTTAAAAAATTGACCAAGGAACTTAACAGATCCTCACCAAAGAAGATATACAGTATATGCAAATAAGCATATGAAAAGATGCTCCAAGTCGTATATCATCAGGAAAATGCAAATTAAAACAATAGTGAGATACCTCTACACACCTATCAGAATGGCCAAAATCCAGAACATTGATAACACTAAATGCTGGCAAAGATGTGGAGCAACAGGAACACGCATTCATTGCTGGTGGGAAGGCAAAATGGTGTAGCCACTTTGAAAGACAATTTGGCAGTTTCTTAAAAAACTAAGCATACTCTTACCATATGATCCAGCAATCTTGTTCCTTCATATTTACCCAAAGGAGGTGAAAACTTATGTCCACAAAAAAAAAAAAAAAAACCTAGAGAAAGATGTTTACAGCAGCCTTACTCATAACTGCCAAAATTTGGAACCAACTAAAATGTCCTTCAGTAGGTGAATGGATAAATAAACGGTGGTACCTGCAGACAATGGAATATTATTTGGCACTAAAAAAAGATGAGCTAAAAAGCCAGGAAAACACATGGAAGAATCTTAAATGCAGGTTGTTAAGTGAAAAAAGCCAATCTGAAAAGGCTACATACTGTATGATTCCAACTATATGGAATTCTGGAAAAGGCAAAACTATGGAGACAGTAAGAGGGTCACTGGTGTCCAGAGGTTGGAGGGAGCAGGGAGGGATGAAGTAGTAGAGCACGGATGATTTTTAGGGCAGCAAAAATCCTAGGTATGATACTATGATGGCAGATATATGTCATTATACACTTGTCCAAGCCCATAGAACATACCACACCAAGAATGAATCCTAATGTAAACTACAGACTCTGGGTAATGATGTGTCAATGTACATTGATTTGTAACAAATGTACGATTCTGGTGGGAGATGCTGATAATGGGGGAGGCTATGCACATATTGGGGCAGAGAGGATACGGCAACTCTCGATTTTGTTGTGAACCTAAAACTGCTGTAAAGAAAATCTTGAAAAAGAAGGAAGGAAGGAAGGAAGGAAGGAAGGAAGGAAGGAAGGAAGGAAGGAAGGAAGGAAGGAAAGAAGGAAGGAAGGAAGAAGGGAGGGAGGGAGGGAGAGAGGGAAGGGAGGAAGGGAAGGAAGGAAGGGAGAGAGGGAGGACAAACCCATAGATAGTGTTAACAACGGTTTTATTTCTTGTGTGGCCCTAGAAGGTTGTCCAGAGACCCCCACTTGCTGAAGCTGGGCAGGATGTCTTCAGGCACACCCATTCCCTTCTCCCACTCCCTGGATATCTGAGACTCTGGCTCCCTACGCCTCCATGGCTGCTGTGGGCAGTTCAGAGACTTACAAACTCCTTGTAAGACCAGGCAGAGCATGGAGGTGTGTGCCTAGGCCTCAAGTCAGGGAAGGCAGCCAAGCTCTGCGGCCAGGAGCTCCCAGGCCGGCATCCCCCATGCAGCGACCCTCCCATCCTCATCACAGGAGCTGGGCCCTGGGGCTGTCTAAAGCCATGCTCTAGGGTCCTGTAGAGACTGAAGCCCACACAGGTATCATCTAGAAGCACACCTAGGCATGGTGACTTTTTTATTAGGAGCTGAACTCCCGCCTCCCCAACTGAAGTCCTAACCCCCAGGACTTCAGAATGTGTGTTTGGAGACTGTATTTGGAGCAGGGCCTTTAAAGATGTATTTAAGGTAAAAATGAGATCATGACAGTGGGCCCTAATTCAATCTGATGGGTGTCCTTCTAATAAGAGATTAAGACACAGACATGCCCAGGGTATGACCATGTGAAGACACAGGGAGAAGACAGGCATCTATAAGCCAATAAGAGAGGCCTCAGAAAGAACCTGCTGAAACCTTGATCTCAAACTTCTAACCTCCAGAGCTATGAGAAAATAACACACACACACGCGCGCGCACACACACACACACACACACACACACACACAGAGCAAGGCTTTGTTTATGGCCAGCCTTAGGATGGAGGGGTTGCTGACTGAGGGTTTACAGAGAGGTGATGCTTTAAGCTGGGCCCTGATGGATGAACAGGAGTCCACTGGACAGACGAAGTATGGAAAGTTACTGTGGGCAAGGGGAAGAGCACGGAAGAGGGAGAAAATACTGCCCTTCAGAGCTGTGCTAACTTTAATATGGCAGCACATGGGCTGAGAGGAAGGGTCAGCCAGGGTGAACCTGGAGAAGTGAGCACTTACTATGTATTGGGCTCCGTGCTAAGGAAGTAATTTTCCCATACTGTCTTCACTAAACCTAACAACCCCATTCTTCAGATAGGAAAACTGAGGCTCAGAGATTTGAACCCAGACCCATTCTGACTCCAGGGCCACATTCCTTTTTTTCTTTCTTTTAGACCGAGTCTTGCTCTGTCACCAGGCTGGAATGCAGAGGTGCGATCTACGGACACTGCAACCTTACCTTCCTGGGTTCAAGCAATTCTCCTGCCTCAGCCTCCCGAGTAGCTGAGATTACAGGTACAGGCCACCCAGTCCGGCTATTTTTTGTATTATTAGTAGAGATGGGGTTTCACCATGTTGGCCAGGCTGGTCTCGAACTCCTGACCTCAAATGATCCACCCGCCTCGGCCTCCCAAAGTGCTGGGATGACAGGCATGAGCCACCAAACCCTGCCCAGGGCCACATTCTTAACCATGAGATTTTCCCCTCCTGTCCAACAGGAGGGCCATGGGGGCATTACCGGCACCCCGTCTCCTCTCCTCTCAGGGTGCAAACAGCCCCTGACATGGGCACACGAATCAGGGAAGAAGGGGGCGGAGTTGAACCACGCAAGGCAGAGCAGGTGAGCTACAAAGGCACTGCTGCAGGGCCCTGCCGGGAACACAGGAGAAAACACCAGCTGCTCAAACCAGCATCGCTTTTCATCTCCTCAGAAAATGGATGCGCTCCTGGGTCCCCGGAGAGCCCAGAGTTTGGGCTGAAGGCTTTCTGGAAAAAAATAAAAAAGCTCACTGTTGCAGGCGTCTCCACAGTCACCCCGGGTGACGCCTGACACTTCACCGCAGCACTCGCTGACAAGCGTCTTCAAAGGACAGAAATCGGCCGGCTGGCTGGCTTTTCATACAGATGTCATTCATCCACAGGAAGCACTTTTCCCTGTGCATTGTGAGAGTTATTTTGGTTCGAGGAAGCCAACCCCAGAGCAAATCCAAGAAAGAAAGAAAAGGAAGAGGGAAAGTGGGGAGGGCAACTCCGGCAAAATTAGAAAAAGTGGCATTTGGGTAAACTGCACACAAAACAATCTTTTCCAAGATGATCTTTTTTTGAGATCAAAGATAAAGCGGGGAGAACTATGCAGAACGAAGCAGGTGTGGTGGGCTTGGGGACACGGGAGGGACTTCGCCAGGCTCTGCAGGCCACTTTTTAAAAGTGGGCAAAAGCCATTCCCTGCTGGACTAGGGTATGATCGGTGGGGAGGGCAGGTAACTCTTGCTAGAGGGGTCGTGATGGGCTGCCCTGAAAAGAATCTGAGGCAGGGGGTGGAACTATTCCACATCTGCTGAAGCTCTGCGCGGGACCTTATTTCTCAGGGTGGTTCAGTGACACGAACATGGCCATGTCACTGCCCAAATGTTCCTTCTTCTGGGATACTCAAATCCCAAGGGTGGTGGAGTTCTGCCCAGGCCTGTGTCCTGGCACACCCTATGGCCTCCCTCTGTCCCCTTGTTCTCCACATGATGTTCTTCAAACAACAGGGTACATCCTGCACCAGACCCGCCTATCAACACCAGGCCAGGTTGGCAGACATGACTTGTGTCTGATTCACCTTTGGAGAATTTTGGTCACACAGAATGGAGTGGCCAAGAGTTCCCGGAACCTTCCATGGGGAGACATGTTTTGGGGGTGTTTCTGATTGTAGGTGGCAGAAACTCGGTCTGAACAAGCTTAAACAACCAAATACACAAATAAAAACATGGGTTGGGCTCCTGTAATCAAACGATAAAGAGAGAGAATGCCCTCAGGATGATTCAAATCAGGACTCTGTCTCTTAGCCTCTCCCTGCAGGCTGGTTTCACTCTGTCCCCATGAAATTGTCTGAAACCCTGCCTCCAGGCGGCTCTAGACTTCCTTCCTTCAGGCTTCCTTCCTTTCTTCCTTCCCACGTCTCAGCTATAGGGACAACAGAGACCTGCTCCAGCTGAAAAGTACCAGAGAATTCTGATTGGCCCAGCTTAAGTCATGTGACTCTCTGGTGGTCCAATCACTGTAGCCAGAGGGATGGCATACTATGACTGGCAGCTTCCCTGTCTTCCTGGGTTGAGTCACATGACTGTGTAGAGGTGGAAAGCATGAAGAAAGGTCACTACAGGAATAGTGGTGGGGTGCAGGGCTGCTACCCCAAGTTGTATCTGTGACACGATGGCCTCTGGAGCACCCAAGGGCCAGTCCACCTCCCCAGCCTGACTTCTCCAAGTCGGTTATCATGAGAAACAGACTCATAACGGCCATTCCAGTCACAAACATTCATTGGAGGTGCTCCCTGGAGGACTCACCATGTACCAGGTGCTTGGCCAAGTGCCTTCCATGAATGATCTCACTGGATCCTTAACAGCAACCCTCTGTCATCCCACCTTGCAGTTGGAGAAGCTGATGCTCAGAGAGGGGCAGAGGCTCACTCAAGATCACACAGCTTGTAAAAGGCAGAGCTGGGAGTTGAACTTGATTCCAATGGATTTTAAAGCCAGAGCTCTTCACCCTGACACCATTCTGACCCTCCTCCTTAGAGCAGTCAAGTTCCCCTAGAGCAGAGCAAGGGGATTTACATGCTGGAATACACTGACCATGGGGTGGTGTCCTCTAGCAGAGATACTTGTCACTTGTATAAAGTGAACTCCCCTCACCCCTCACCCAATGGGTGCTTAACAAACGTTGGCTGAACTGGACTCCAGCTCCAGGCAGAGGTAAGGTAGAGAGACTCCCAGGATTTGTTCAGCCTTTGGTCCCTGTGAGTGACAAAGTGGGCTCAGACCCCAGGGTAAGTGAAAAGTGTCAGGTCACCAGTGAAGCAGGAGGCTACCAGACCTTCTAAAAAGAATTCTAAAGGAGAAACTAATTTTCATTACATTGAGAGGACTTCAGTGTCCAGTAACATGGAAGACAATATAACCTGAAATGCTCCCACTATAAAACACCCAGAAATACTGGATAAGGTATACCAGCATCCCTTTAAATATATAGGTCAGTTCTGGAAAAAGTAAGAAATTCCCAAGGGCCAAAACTGAAGAGGGAACTCACTCAGACTGCTAAGTATGTGAACCAATAATTAAGTGCCCTCTGCAATAAAGGAGTGGGGCATGGGATAGATAGGTGCCCATCTTAGTACTGAAGAGGCCTTCACACTCAGCGAGTATGTGGATCAGAACACCTCTATCCACTAACACTGGAAGAAGACATGCCTTGATCTGTCTCTGCCTTGCCTCTAGTTTGGAAAACCAAAAGGTAGCTTCCCCTGAGAATGTATAACCATAATCCTGCACTCGCATGGGTTTGGAGTTCAAATTGATTGTCCCTTTGGAATTCTCAGACTTGAGTATGGATCAGAATCACCTGGGCAATTTGTTAAAATAGAAACTGCTGGGTCCCACTGCCAGGATTCCTGACTCAGGAGATCTGGGTTGGAGCTCGACAATTTGCATGTCTAACAAATTTCTTGGGGATGCTGATGCTGCTGGTCCAGGGACCACACTTTGAGAACTACTGTTCTCTGCCAAGAAATTAACTTAAAAATCATTCTCACATGGTAATACTGCTGGACATTAAGCCAAAACAAATACAAAATATTTCTATTAATAACACAGGGGTGGCTGGGTGCGGTGGCTCATGCCTATAATCCCAGCACTTTGGGAGGTCAAGGCTGGTGGATTACCTGAGGTCAGGAGTTCGAGACCAGCCTGACCAATGTGGTCAAACCCCGTCTCTACTAAAAATACAAAAACTAGCCAGGCATGGTGATGTGCACCTGTAGTCCCAGCTACTCAGGAGGCTGAGACAGGAGAATTGCTTGAACTCAGGAGAGGCGGAGTTTGCAGTGAGCCGAGATCGTGCCACTGCACTCCAGCCTGGGCAACAGAGCAAGACTCCGTCTCAAACAAACAAACCAAAAAACAAGGGTGAGCAAACAGTGACCTGTAGGCCAAATCCCATCGGCCCTGGGTCAAATCCAGCCCCACTCATTAGTTTATTTCTTGTTTATCACTGCTTTTGCACAAAGGCAGAGTTAAGTCATTGTGTTAGAGACTGTAGTCTGCAAAGTGAAAAATATTTGCTATCTGGATGACTTCTGCACTAAGGTCAATCCTGGTCACATAGAATTCACAGAGATACAAGCCTACCAAAGATGACCTCTCAATCCAAAATTACAAAACACATGGGGAACTGGTCTACCATAGATCAACAGGCAACATTAGCAGGATCACACCCAAGAACTTCAGATAATGAAATTATTATACACAGACTATAAAAACAGCAGAGAGTCAGAGTCTACATTTAGCAACTCTTAGGTCTTTAACCAGAAGGAATTATGAGGATGATATTTACTGAGTACTGTATGCCGGGCATTGGGCCCAGTGCTTTATATACTCCAAGTCCTTTCCACATGAAGCCACTCAACATTAGGTAAAAAAGACTGAGGCTCAGAGATGGGTCATTCACTTGCCCAATTTCACAGCAAATATGAGGCAGAGCCAGGATAAAACCCAGGCCTTGGGTTGAAACCCACTTCTAGGCAGTTCCAAATTCTATGCCTCACTTCCACCCCAGAGCAAGGTGCATGATAAAAGTAGGAGCTCTTAACTTGGGGTACATGGCTAGATTTGGGGGAATCTTGCAACTCCCTGAAACTACATGCAAAATGCTAAGTCTCCATCATATTTCTAAAAAGAAGATCCATAGCTTTCATCAGATTCTCAAAATCAAAGCCCTGAGATAGCCAGACTCAAATCCAGGCCTTCTCTCCATGCTAGACCAGAATCATATTAATGGTGAACATTTCTTGTGCATGATGCCAACTGACACCACTTGAATGTTATAAGCGTATGTTTAAATCCCATGATAGCCCTACGAGGAAGTTATTTTATCCCCATTTTATAGATGAGAAAACTGAGGCCACAGAGGGGTCAGGTAACTTGCCTGAAATCCCACAATTAGCAGGTGGTTGAACAGGGAACCCAGAGTCAAACCCTCTCACCTGCACACTTCTCACCTGCCACATCGCCTCCTGCTGCTGGTGGTAACCAGCTCTCTGATTCTGAATCCAATCATTTGTCTCTACAAGCTTGGAAGGCCCAGGGTCTTTCCTGCCCACTCCTAAGCCATTTGCACACGCACAAGAAACACAAGGCTCCTTCTACCTTGATTTTGAGGTAAAGCCCCTTTCTTGATCCCAACGTCCATGTCCAAAGAACATTTCCAAGGCCAGCCAGACAGGAAGCAAATATTTCCCAGAGAACATTCATTCCCCTGTCCCCACCACCTTGCCGGGTGCATGTCCAGACACCAGCTACCTACTTGGCTGGTGCCTCGCTCCTCGACAGCGTAAACACACATTTACCCAATTTTTCACAATGAGCAATATTTACTCAACAGCCCAGAATGGCTCATATGGAACTATTAAACCCCATTGCCTCCGTCTGCAGCTCGGAGTGCAATAATGAATCAGTATTTTGGAGCGATTACGATGCTAATAAGAATGTGTGAGGCACAGAATAATGCTATGCAGGGGCGGCCGCCAAATCCCCCGGACTCGCTACCTCCCTTCCTCTGGGAATTTTACCCTTCCAGGAGCCAGCCTGCCTGAGAACCCCCAGCCCCCAAGGCAGGCCCTGCTGGAGTTACTGGAGCACCAGACTGATCTAAAACGGAAGCCCACCGTATCTCAAAGTGCAGGCCCCATGAGGCCAACCTTTGCCGGGGCTGTGGGAGGCGATGGTGCCGCCTCGCGATGTCCCAAAGGCCCCAGAGCCACCTATGCTGGTTGGGACCTGGAGCTCTAGCACAGCGTCTCACATGCTCACACACGTACAGATACTGGAGGAAAAAAAATACTCATTCCCTCAGGCTGCACGCCTGGAGCAATGTTGGACTGCAGGGTGGTGGGGGGAGGGGGTGTTTGCTTGCTGTTGTTTTTTTTGGATCCTTCTCTTTTTCACAAGCCCCTAGGTAAATAATACATGGCAGAAAAGAAGCCTGTATTTGAATGTGGTGAGGACCACCCTCAACCCCCTCCTCATCTGCCCAGGGAAATTGCTTTATTCTTGTGCCAACCTTGGGAGACTGGGGAACTTTCTGGATGCCCAGGGAGGCCAGACATACAGACTTGGGCCAGAGGATGGTGGAGGCAACAGCTAAGCCTCCTTGTCTGGCCAGGTCTCCCAGCCCAGGCTCTCTGTCCTCAAACCCCTTCAATCCTCCTCCTCTTTCGTCCCCTCCCATTCATGATAACGACCTCAGCAGGGCCTACAAGCCTCATGGGACCCTGCCCTGTCCCCTGCTTCTCAGACACATCCTGCCTATCTGCCCTTCACCCTGCACTCCAGCCACACTGCCCACCTTTCACTTGCTGGAGCCAGAGGTATGGTCTCCCACCCCAGGGCCTTCGCACATCTCGCTCCTACCCTCTAACTGGACTACCATGCGCCTCCTCACTGGGCTAACTCAGGAGTCCTTCCCTGACTTCCAGACTAAAGCTGGTCCCTGTAATATGGTCTCATCATTCCTAGCTCATTTCCTCTGCAGCCCTTAGCTGGGCTTGCAACTTCAAATATGTGATTATTTGATTAATGTGGGTCTCTTCAGGGATTTGATTTCTAAACACCACAGAGACCAAAGCACCTCGAGAGCAGAGAGCATGTCTGTTTTCATCACCAGGGCATCTCCGGCACGTGGCCTGGGCCCAGGCCCACAGTAGGTGCTGAGATAAATACTTGTTGAATGGATGACTCCCCTCGCTCGAGCCGTCTCCCAGCTCTGCTTCCCTAGTGACAGCTGCCTTTTCTGTGAATGGGGCCACACAGCTTTTCAAGCCTTTTTTTACATGACATCATTTTATCTGCCATAAAATGCAATGTTCATAGTACAAGCCCCGGATAAATATTTAATCACAATAAAATGCTCGTGGACCCTCAACCAGGAGGACAGCCCTGTGCACTCCCTTTGGTGTAGATGAGAGAGCGTGTGTGAGTGTATGATACACATCTATCTCTACACAAGGTGTCCCCAACAGAAACGTGCATGCCACACAGGCAGAAAAGTACCTACATGGGAAGGTGCCACCCACATTCATTCCGCAAGGATTAAGTGAGCACCCAGTATACACTAAGCATGGCAGACCCGCCGGCGGCTATAGCAGAAGTGCTAACATGGATTGGGCACTTACTCCGTGCTAGAACAGTCCTGGGTTACATGCTTCAGGCAAATTCACTCATCTAACCCTGCCGACACTCCCTGTGAGTGAGGCTGCGAGGCGACCTATTTCACAGGCGAGGAAGCTGAGGCACAGATGGAGTGCACGCGCTGAAGTCTTATTGGCAGGGGCAGAATTTGAACTTGACTGTGCCTGACTCTAAAGCCTGGTGTTTGGCCACGAGGCGCCCCCCACATCCCTGCCTGCTGAGAACAAGGCCAAGTACATAAAACTGGAAGCACAGTGTTTCCATCACAGCAGAAAAAAGAAAACGACAAAAAACCCAGAGATACCCAGGGCCAGGGCCAGGCTGAGGGGAGAGTGACCCACTCACTTCACAGAACATCGGGCAGGTAAAACGCTTGTCCGAAAGACAGCAAAATGACGTGGAGAATGCTAATGTGGGTATAAGTGGAAAGACCGTGATGTAGAGTTGGATGTACTTAGGCGGGCAAAGCAGGACGAGGGTGTAGACAGAAACACACACCATGCCAAAGGGTGTTCTTCCAGTCTCCTTCTTCCTCTTTTCTCTATTTGTAAAGCCCTCCGATAATGGGGCGACTTTGTCTTCCATAATGCAAAATTACTTTTAAAAAGCCCTTCTTTCACTTGCAGTCGTGGGATTCCCCGAAAACCCTTCTACAGCCCATGCTTCCCTCCTCCTCCCCCATCCCGAAAAGCTTTCCTCAGTGGCTCTCCTCATTGTCCCATAGTGACTCAAACAGGAATAAAAATAGGAAGAAAGGAGAGCAAAGGATGCCATGGACTGTGGTGTGCATGGGTCCTGGGTTGTAGCTCAGAAAGCCAGGCATCCTCCTTGCTGTGTGTGTGTGTGTGTGTGTGTGTGTGTGTGTGTGTGCATATGCATGCACACATCTGGGGACAGCTTGGGCCTGCAGAGACTCACTGATCAGCGGCTGGCCTCTGCAGGGCCACAGCCATGAGGGGAGGCCTCCCATGAACAGCCCCAAGGAAGCGGGGGAGGGGGCAGCAGGGCCAGCTGGAGGTCCTGGCATCCCAAGGCTGGGAGGTGGCAGGTGTCACTGCTTCCTTTCTGAAGGCCTCACGCCCCTCCTGGAGGGACGATAACTGTGTCACATCCCTTCATCTTTGTCCCTGGCACTTGGCCTTCCAGAGGATGAAGCTGACAAGAGGGTAGAAGGAAGAGGGGGCTAAGGCTTCCGTTTCTGCTTCCCGAGGGTGACCACCATGGCCTAACTTTTTCCTTGGCCCTTAGAGAAGGGACTTTGTCTAGTCCTCACTTCCCAGAGGCTGTCAGCTCCAACAGAACCTTCCAGAGCTACAGGCTGGGCCGGGCTGGGCCTGAGGGAAAGGGAATTTGCTCGTCTCAGTATCCGCAAACCAGATAGAACCCCTGCTTCCTACTGGGTTCCAGCAAGTTCAGGAGTGAGATCCCTGCTTCCCAAAACTCTGGCCCATCCATGGGCATTTATTGAGCCTCTAATATGTGCCAAACTCTGTGCTTGTGACAAGAGTCAAGAAGACAGATACAAATGCTGCCCTCATGGGTCTTAAAAAGACTAGCCAAGGAACTCCAATCAATTATGATGTGCATTATTATGGGGGAGCCCCCTAATCCAGCCAGGAGGTTCAGGAGAGCCTCCCAGATCAGACACGAAAGATGAGAGAAGTGTGTCTGTTTGTACGGTGATTTTAAAAAGGGAGTTCCAGGCAGGGAGACCAGGATATGCCAAGTCTGGATGTAAGACAGCGTAAGGCATTTGAGGGCTGGGTAATAATTTAACCCTGGCTGGGGGATTTGGGGACGAGGAAGTTTATAAGAGATGACATGGTGGGATTGGATGAGGGTGAGGGGAGGTGCTCACGACCAGCCTCATAAGGTAGAAGTTTGGACTTTGTCCCATAAACAATAGGGAGCCACTGAAAGCTTTTCAGTTGGGGAGAGGGTGTGGGGTCATGATTCGGTTTCAATAAAGATCTCTCACAGCAGAGTTCAGGGTCCAAAACTCTTGGTTTTAACCAAGAGAATCAACAAAGGACACTGCCACAAGACCTAACAGAAGTCACTGCCACCTCCCTGCCATGATTTCCCGGGAGTGATTCTAAATGGAGCCCTGGACCTGCTGGAAAGACCATGTGAGTCAGGATCCCAAGGTCGGGGGCAGGGAAGGGGGCTTCCCCAGAAGTCAGGCTTAAGTCTGGTAGGGGTAAGCTGGGGAGAAAGGGGCCCATGCTCTCCCCAACACCTCCCTCACTGCCCCCACCCTCGGCATCCCAGCCAGGACTGAGGACCCCCCACGACCACCTTCTCCTTGGTAGCACCCCTTCCACATCACCCTCCCCTCCTCCTATATCTAAGGGGCTCTATCTTTAGAAAACAATCCCACCTCCTCACCATAGCCCTCAAGGTGATCTGGCTCCTGCCACCCTGCCCCCACTTCATCTCCCACCTCCCCACCTCTAGGATACAGAAAGCTGACCCTGGGTGGGGGGACCTAGGAAAGTCAGAAGAGTCACGTGCCCCATTTGGAAGGTGAGGGAAACTGAGGCATCAATGGGGCCCTCATAGAAAACAAAATGGTCCAGGAATCAGGCAGTAGTCCTGCTCCCCTCACTGGGAGTTGGCCTGGCTATCTCTGCCAAGAAGCCCCTCGCTGGGGCCAGGGGCACCTAGCCTTATCAAGAACATTTGGGCGATATGGTTATTTCTACCCAGTTTGCTCCGTGTGGAGTCTGCACATTTTTTCAGAGACTGGGCCCAATTCCAGAATGGAAATGTAGCCCTCCTCCCCTCCCACCTCCCCGAGAAGCCCTGCAAAGAGGGGCCCCCTCCAGCTGACCAGTGTGGCAGGTGCCACTGTCAGAGACATTTGAACCAGAGCGACTCCATTTTGAGTGAGGGCTGGAAAATGAGGCTGGTACCTGCTGGGCTGCATCCTCAGAAAGTTCAGCATTCCGAGCCTCTAGATGTTTACGGTTAAGGGAACAAATTAATAATGTTTACTAAACACACCCAGACTTGGGAGTGTCCAGATATCCCAATATTTGGAGAACAAAGGGATTCCTAATTTTGCTTTAAAGATAACAATATTGATTATTGCAAAATATAGTAATTAAGAAAATTAATCCTTTATCACAAACCCTTGTCACAGAGCATATCTCCCCATATATATGAGTATTGTACCTAGGGTGGATGTGTTCCTCCTCTTATTTTCAGGAATGTCCTACTCTGTCTATGGAGTAGCTGTTCTTTCACCATTTTACTTTCTTAATAAACTTGCTTTTACTTTGCACTGCGGTCTCTCCCTGAATTCTTTCTTGCGTGAGATCTTGGGGTCTCGCTCGGGACCCCCTTCCTGTAACACCACTATCTGCAAGGGTGCACTAAAACGTCTCCTTGGGCCCCACCCTTTCAGCCACCCTCCAGCTTCTCCTGTATCTGAGATGAGAGAATTGCTCCCTCTCTGTCTCTCTCTCTGTCTGTCTGTCTCTCTCTCTCTCTCTCTGTCTCTCTCTCTCTGTGTCTCTTCAGTGTTCTCCCTTCCTCCCCAGCCAGGGAAATGGAGGTAAAAATCTCCCAAGATCCCCAATTTAAAGTAAAGTCAGATCTTTCTCTCTTCCCTTTCCTCACTACCTAATAATCACACTTGTGTGAAGTTGATGCTCTACATAACGAAGAGAGAGGCCTCCTTGGAGAGGGTACAATCAGACAATTTTTAAGATCATGGAGCATTAGACCATTCCCAACTGGGTTTACTAATCAAACAGCCAAATCCTTCATAACCAGCCAATCCCTACAGGGCAATTAAATCCTTCCCCTTTAAAACACTTGCCACACTGTCTGGGGACAGAAAGAAAAATTTGCAAAATTCATTTGATAAATTAGCCAGGGAAAAGAAAGGAGTGAATCAAGCTTTGTTCTTTTCATTTTTTTTAATTATGGAATTCACAATGCCTGAATAATGTTTAATAAGAACTATGAAAATTCCTAACAGTATTACAACACAACACAAAAGAATTAACCTGGTTACCGTGAAAAATTGCATATTTAATTAAGAACAGAGAGTTCAAAACTATCCAGAGATTTCAAAAGTGCTGTTGCCTGAGGGGCCAAATTACATGCTTCCAGGGCTGCTAACGGAGTTAGCGCGTTCAGTCATTACCCAGGCGTCCCCATTAAGTGACTCTGGGCAGATGACATCAAATTCATTTCAAAAGCACCAGGAACTGAAGCATTCACTTGGGTAGTTTAAGGGAAAGCAACTATCCTGCTGGTAGAAATCAGACCCCTTGTTGATAAAGGCAATAATTAAAGAATAATGTTAATTAGCTGCTTTTATTTGAAGAAAAGTACGGTAGTTGGAGTGCTTCCAGGCTGTTGAGGTGGGAGTCACTCTTTCTGGCAGAAGGGGAGGCTGCTGGCAGAAGTGGGGAGCGAGGGGCCCACAGGAAGACAGGAAGATGGTGGAGGCTAGGGCAGGGAGAAAGATGGGGCCCGTGTAAGGAGGTCTGGGTCCCCACGTTGGAATCGGCCTGGTCACCCTGAGGCCCTCAAGAGGGCAGCTTGGAAAGCAAGGAAAGGTGGTGCTGTCAGCATCTAGGGCCCTGTCACTGGCAGGCCCACTTCCATCATGGCAGACAAAGCCAGATCTCCAGTGGCCACTTCCTGTCACACCCACTCCACTCCACTCACATAGCCGTCTCTGTCCCACTAACTTCCCTCACATAATCTCCTGCCACACCCATTGCCCTCACACAGCTTCCTGTAACATCCACTCCAGCTTGGTAACTTCCTGTCATACTGACTCCCCCACACAATTTCTTGTCACACTTACTTGCTACTGGGCCACTTCCTATCACACCCACTGCAGCTCAGGCCATTTCCTGTCATACTCACTCTCGTCACACAACCTCCCGTCACAACCATTGCAGCTTGGCCATTTTCTGTCACACTCACTCCCTACTTGGCCACTTCCTGTCACACTCCCCCACACAATCTCCTGTCACACTGAATTCCCTCACACAACCTCTTGTCACAACCATTCCAGCTTGGCCACCGCTTGTTACACTCTGTCCCCCACACATCCTCCTGTCACACCCACTCCCTACTTGGCTACTTCCTGTCACACCAACTCACCTCACACAACCTCCTGTCACATCTACTCTCCTGCTCAGCCACTTCCTGCCGCACTGGCTCCCTTTACAGCCTGTCACAACCAGCCTGAGTCACCTGAATCACCACCACCATCGCCCTCACTGTAGCCAACTGTCTTTTCTAAAGATGGCTGCCATAATATCCCTCGCCACCAAGGCTTCCTGCAAGGTGACCTTGACACTCCTTCCACCCAGTGGTGGGATCTACGTCCTCCTCCCTTTGAACCTGGGCCCACCTTTGTTACTGCCCCAATCAGCAGAGTAGATGGAAGTGATACTAGCAACTTGCAAGGCAAGAGCATGAAAACACCTGCACTTCCACCTGGCTCTCTCAGGATGTTGCCTCTCGGAACCCAGCCACCATGCTGTGAGGAAGCCCAAAGGAGAACACACAGAGAGACCCTGCAGAGAGGCCATAAACTGGGGTTCCCACAGGTAGCTGAGGTTCCAGCCAACAGCCAGCATCAATTGCCAGATGTGGGAGTTGTCAAATTACCCGCAAATGTTGAATCTGCCCAGATGAAGCCACAGCTATCATGGAGTGGGGACAAGCTGAACCAACTGGGCTCCGTCCTAATTCCAGCCCACAGAATCAGGTATACAAGAGTTGTTTCTGTCCACTAAGTTTGGGGTGGCTTGCTACCCAGCAACAAATGACTGCTGCGTTTACAGAGACACATGCAGTCACACATGTTAAGAACAGTCCTCGTCTCTAGCATCCTCCTTCCCTGACAGATCCATCCAAGAGGCCGGCATGAGAAACGCATCCATGGATCTGTCCACCAGTGACAAGAACACCCAAAGAAAGCCACAATTGGCCTCCGCCTTTTGCCTCGGATCTCAACAGCCCCCGAGGTCTCCAGGGGCATAGCAAACAATCTAGCTATGGAGGGGAAAGAACGCAGGAAGCCCCATGTTACAGAAGATAACACTGAGAGCCACGCAGCTAAGTGGCCTGCTCAGGACCATGGCTGCTTCACGGCAGAGCTAGGCTGCGATCAGCCCGACTCCCAGCGAAGTGGTTTGATTCTCATTAGCAAGGTGCCTAATTAGGGCAGCTCATCAATACATCCCACAGAAACAAATTATCCTCTGGCTCAAGCCTACTTACCTGTAGGGAGGCTGGGCCAGCCCCAACCTTCTAGGGGTGCCATCCTGGGCAGGGGACAGGAAACGTGCGCCGATGGGACCGCTGGGGCAGTCGGGCAAGCTCCGGGGGCTGGGGGAAGGGGGGCTGCCTTCCTCAGGTGCCCCACCTTGGGGGCCAGGCGGGAGGCAGGAGCTGGGCCTTGGTTTCTCTCCTCGCCCCCTCCAGGGAGGCAGACGGCCTCAGCAGGCCTCACCCACTGTGATATGCCAAGATGCTCTGCTCTGCTCAGAGAATAATTTTTTTCCAGAGATGAATTTCACAAAGTAGGCCAAGGGCCGTGGGACCAACCCCCTTGCTTGCAGAGGCTGAAGAGGATATCCTCCGAGGGCCGGGGCCGCCTCATTGCGACTTCCAGGCTGCTGGCCCGAGGGTCCCAGGGTCCAGCTACCCCAGGATAGGAAGGACAGGAAATTGGCCTAGTCCCCCAGTGTATGCTGCTATGGTGACCAGCTCTGACGGTGGCCTCTGGGACTCTGACATCCCTGATGCTTGTCCCAGTAATTTGGGCCCAGGCCCCGACTCCTGCCAGACAACATGGTCCACCAAGAGCCACCCATCATCACATTAGACCTTTATGAGGCCAATCTGCACATACAGCAGCTTCTGGGGAGAAAAGAGGGAACCTGGACATGTAGTAGCCCTGTCCCAATGATACACAGTCTCTGCTTTGCATAGTAAAGAGAAATAACAAGAGACAGGAGAGCGTACGAACATGGACTGTGGAGTCAGACTGCCTGGCTCTGCTGTGTGGCCTTGCACAAGTCACTTAACCTTTCTGTGCCTCAGCTTCCTCCTCTGCAAAATGGGAATATTAAGAGTGTCTAGGGCCGGGTGTGGTGGCTCATGCCTGTAATCCCAGCACTTTGGGAGGCTGAGGGAGGTGGATCGCCTGAGGTCAGGAGTTCAAGACCAGCCTGGCCAACATGGTGAAACTTCGTCTCTACTAAAAATACAAAAATTAGGCGGGCGTGGTGGTGTGCGCCTGTAATCCTAGCTACTCAGGAGGCTGATGTGAGAGAATCTCTTGAACCCGGGAGGCAGAGGCTGCCGTGAGCCAAGATCACACCACTGCACTCCAGCCTCAGTGACAGAGTGAGACTCCATCTCAAAAAAGAATGTCTACAGCATAGAATTGTGATGGGAATTAAACCACTAAATGATGGTATTTAGAAAGTACTTAGAGTCACATAAGCCACCCTTGGCAAGTGCTTGTTAAACTAGAAATAAATAAAAATAAAATTTAAAAAAATTTAAAAAGCTCTTCTGAGCTGCTCTCATTGCTGAAAGGTCATGTAAATTCTGCCCATTATCTGGAATGGCTATACTGAGGCCAGAGAAGGCAGAGTCACCTCCACACCAGTCACAAAGTTGGCACAGCTAATGCCTAGGGTGAGGTTGCTATTATAACTCACACGCTTATATGAGGGCCACACTGAAAGCTGCACAGGGAGGCCTGGGCTCAGCAGAGGTTTTGCAAAATGGGAAACCCACACCCCCAGAACCCAGCCCTGTGTGAAATGCAGGCCCGGGGACGCCAGCTCTCACACTGAAGAGAAAGCCAGGAATCTGTTTTTTGTTTTTGTTTTTGTTTTTGTTTTGAGATGGAGTCTTGTTCTGTCACCCAGGCTGGAGTGCAGTGGCGCGATCTCGGTTCATTGCAGCCTCCACCTCCTGGGTTCAAGCAATTCTCCTGCCTCAGCCTCCTGAGTAGCTGGGATTACAGGCGTGTGCCACCATGCCTGGCTAATTTTTGTATTTTTAGTAGAGACAGGTTTCACCACATTGGCCAGGCTGGTCTCGAACTCCTGACCTCAGATGATCCACCCGCCGTGGCCTCCCAAAGCGTTAGGATTACAGGCGTGAGCCACTGCGCCCAGCTCTGAGTTTTTAAAAGGTAACCTCTGATCAGGCCACCAGGCATTCAATGTTTACCAATCACCATGCCAAGTACTGTAGCTTTAATGTATGGTAATGAGTTCACCGTCTGATACGGGAGACCAACAAGGAACTGGGGAATCATCTGGAAACATGGAAAGCAGCCCAGGCCAGGGATGTCCAAGTGAGACCTAAAAGAAGACATCCAACCCAGCGCAGAGTCAGGGAAAGAGGGCCAGGGCCCACGAAGAGCAATGTGAATGGTGTTCCAGGCAGAGGAAACAGAAAATGCAATGCTGGGAAGTGTGAGGAGTATGGAGGATGTAGAAGCGGAGATAGTGAGACAGAATGCTAAGGATGGAGACTATGGAAGTACGTGGCAGATTCATAGAATACTCTTGGGGCTAAATCCCATCTCTGCTGGGGAAATGCTGTGTGTCCATGGGAGGCCTCTGAACATCTCAGCATTAAGTGGGTTAGGATTTTGCTTTCACTAGAGCCCTTGGATGGCCCCAGAGATGACACTGGGAAAGGGCCCCCTTGAAGGAAGAGCGTTTCTTGTCATTAGTGGGACTTAGTGGAAAATCACTCTCCCACTGCTGGGGCAAGAGCCACCGGGGAGCAAGCACGAGAAACAAAATCACATTTCTGGAGCCCCTGGTATGTGCCAGGCGCCGTGCTGGGCCCTGCATGTACAGGCGCTCATTTCCTCCATGTGGAGATGCTATGAGGGGATTATTTTTGCTATCCCCATTTTGCAGATGAGAAAACTGAGGCACTGAGCAGTCCTCTGGCGGCCTCATGTATCTGGCAAGAGCAGAGCCAGTCTGTTCGGCAATAACCCTGCTTTGCCCCTGCACCTAGCTACCCGTCTGGGGTTTTCCCCTCAAAGGGATGAAGGTGGGGGTGGGGGAGCTTCAGCAGGTACAGCAGGCAATCCTGGGGAGGCAGTGCCTGCCACTGGCCCCACATGCCCGTGTCACCTCCATCACAGTGAGATCAACTCTGCAGTGGCCATGCTTAGCTTTGGGGAAGTCATTAAATGCCACACCAAACTAGACAGAATACAATTGCATGGCAAGGAGATGTTGAAAGAAGTTCTGCCTGGGAGCATGAGCACACAAACACATACACAGACATACTAAGGTGCACAAATAAACAAAGACACGCACTGACACACACACACAGATCCCCACATGTGGATGCAGATACACAGGCACACATTCAGAGACATACTCAGAAAAACACAGATACAAAGACACACACACAGAAACACACTAAGATACACATACAAGGACACAGACACAAAAATTAAAAGACCCACAAACACACTCAAAGATATGTACCCACAAAGATGCAGACATACACACGTAAGTATACAAATACACTCACATTACACTCACATCACACTCACATCCATCCCTGTTTGTTCATTTGACTGATTTTTTTTTTTTTTGAGGGCCTACTATGTGCTCTGCCCTCTGCTGCTCAGTTCTGGGGACAAGCTGCTCTATACCCTCATGGTGATGACAATCCACAGAGGGAGGCCGGTGTTCATCAGTAACCCACAGAGCTATGTCTGACACCTGCTATGGTAAGTGCTGTAAAGTTGGGGTGCACAGCCTCATGGGGCCATACAAGGTGGAGCAGGCAGCTGCCCCAAGGAAGTGATATTGAGTAAGCTCCAAGGATCTGGGAGGAGTTGATGGGAAGAAGTATGGGAAGAGTGTCGCAGGCAGAGAGAGCAGGTCACCCATGGGGGCTATGGTGCCGGGGAAACAAAGAAGACACGTGTGACTGGAACATGGCGAGCATAGGGAATGTGGCTCAGGATCAAGAACAGAGGGCGCATGTACAATTATAATGTGTCCATTAAAAAAGAATGAAAGGCATGCTGAAATTACACTGCTATAAATCTGAACTTGATTCCTATAAGTTACAATATATATGGTAAACCCTAGCACAAACCACTAAGAAAATCCTCAAGTAATATAGTTAAAAAAAAAACCTCACTAATTAAAATGCTACATTAGAGAATATTCACTCAATGCAAAAGAAAGTAGTAAAAGAGAAATAGAGGAACAAAAAGATATAGAAAACAAAAAGCAAAATGGCAGACATAAATTCTACCATAGCAATAATAACATTAAATATGAATGGATTAAACAATCCAATCAAAGAGCAGAGTTTTTCAGACTGAATAAAAAACATGATCCAACTATATGTTGTCTATAGGAGACACGCTTTAGATTCAAAGGCATGAACAGATGGAAAATTAAAGGATACAAAAAGATATATAATGCAAACAGCCACCATAAGAAACTGGGAGTAACTATACCAATATCAGACAAAATAGACTCTAAAACAAAACAAAAAAAAAAAGTTACTAGGGAAAGAAGGACCTTTGCTAAATAAAAGGGCCAATCTGTCAGGAAGAGATAACAATTATAAATGTATATATGCACCTAATAGAACACTAAAATATATGAAGCAAAAATTGACAGAAATGGAGAAATAGACAATTTAACAACAGTTGGAGACTTCAACACCCCACTTTCAACAGTGCAAAGAACAACTAGACAGAAAATCAACAAGAAAATAGAAGACTTGAACGACACTATAAACCAAGAACAGAGGGCAGTGACCAGTCCATGCTGAGCATGGAAGGTTAGTTACATTGAGGCTTTCACCTCAAAGGCAATGGAGGGCCATTGGAAATGGTACTTTTTAAAACAAAATGCATTTTTAATTGATACATAATATTTGTATATATTTATGAGATACATGTAATATTTCGTTACATGCATAGAATGTGTAATGACCAAGTCAGGGTATTTAGGATATCCATCACCCAGGTACTGGAAACATTCCAAGTCCTCTCTTCTAGCAATTTTAAAATACACAATACACTGCTGTTAACTATAGTCACCCTGCTCTGCTATCAAACATTAGAATGTATTCCTTCTATCTAATTGTATGTTTGTACCCATTAACCAACCTCTCTTCATCGTCCCCTAGAAATTCTTCTTCCTAAACTTCTATTAAAAAATTCTTAACAAGTTTTTAATAACCTCACTTGCTGCTGTGGTCAAAAGAGTGGAGAAGCCAGAGTCAGCAAAGGAAGAAATTAGGAGACCAAAGTCCAGCGGGAGAGGCAATGGGGGCATGGGTCCAAGTGACGATGGTGGAGATGGAGGTAGGAGATGGGATGCAGGAGGTATCTAGGAGGTAAATCCCCAGGATTTAGTGATGAACTGGACATAGGGGGCATACAGGAGAGGGAGGTAATCAGGGTAGCTCCCAGGTTTCTGTCCTGTAGACCCGGATGGAGCCATCCCTAAGATGAAGACCCTACAATGGAGAGAAAATTAGGTTTTGAACGTCTTGACCTGGAGACATCTTTGAGACAGACATTCAAGAAAAGTCAAATAAAGTGGCTTAAAAAGAAAGACAGAAATGTCAAGAAGGCTATTGTACAGAGAGGTTTGACACCCAGAGGCAGGGACTGGAGAGCTGGGAGGCAGTGATGTTGTGGATACAGATGAGGTCACACAGGGTCAGGGCACAGAGTGAGAAGAGATGGACCTTGAAAGGACCAACATAATTAGAGGCCAGCCAGAGGAGGATGGGTCTGAAAAGAAACAGGGAAGTGGCGGCAAGAGGTAGGAGGAAAATGAAGAGAATGTAGTATCAGGAGGGCCAAGAGGGGGCTCTGTGGGGGAAGCGGCAGGGTGGGTGGGAGATACAGAAATGGAGATACAGTGTGAGCCAGATGCTCTATAAATGTGGCTGAGCAGGAGAGGAGGATGTAGGTGAAGGGTTTCTCTGCCCTGCCTTCCTTCATATACCCTTTTGCCTCAGTTTCCTCCTCTGCAGAATGGGAGGTGGTCCAACAGCATAGGTGGGTGGAACCATTTCTGACAGGCTCCAAGCACCATGCAGAGGTTAGGGGCTGCTAATCTGCACTGAACAGTAAAACCAGGGAGCCCCTGTCCTAGTGGCAGACCTGATGATCTGCCTTGTCCACCTCCTTGGTCACAGACCATCCCCCTTGCCCAAAAAAGTCTCTCTCAAAAAGACCTTGCTGGGCTCCAATCTGCTACAGGACAGAGCTTGGTCCTTCCTGGGCCCATCCAGGGTTTGGTGACCATGGTTCCTGTGGTGTCTCCTTGAAGGCAGGCTGCCTTCTGAGACCACCCACCCTCTACCTAGGCTAGAGAACATCACTGAATCCAGATGGGGAAGGAGGGGAGAACTACACGTCTCAAGTCTAGAACCCTCTCCAGCAGCCCTCACCAACCTCACAGGCCTGCAGGGCCAGTGTTTGTCTCCCCTCTTGTTCCCCACAGCTCTGTGTACAGCCTCTGATTACTGTGCTAATTATGTCATTTTGGGGTTATTTCACTACAGTTGACTCCTCCACCAATCTAAAGCATTCTTAAGAACAGGGACTGCTTTCTTTTCATCTTTACATTCCTAGTGTTGGCTGAGTAGATGTTGGATGGATGCATGCATGGAGGAAGGGATTTTTGTTGGATGCACAAATATGTGGATGGGTGGATGAGAAGGTTGCTGGGTGGCTAAGTGGATGAATGGATAGATGAATGGGTGGGTGGATGGGTGGAGGAATTCGTGGATGGGTGGATGGATGGATGGATGAATTCGTGGATGGATGAATTCATGGATGGATGGATGGATGGATGAATTCATGAATGGATGGATGGAAGGATTCATGGATGGATAGATGGATGGATTCATGGGATGGATGGATGAGTGGACAGATGGATGGATAGTTAAGATCAGTAAGAAATGGGGAAGTACAGCTGGATAAAGTGTTAGGTGGATGGATACAGTGGATGAGAGAGCAGATTTATGAATGAGTAGATAAGACAATGTTGGGTGGGTGGTGGATGAGTGGATGATGGATGATAAAGAGGTGATCCCCCAACCCCTGCTACTTCCAGTCCACAGGTGCTCATAGATTAGACAAAACTAAAAGGTGAAAAAGTTCTCTTTATTCCATACTCCAGCCCACATCCCCTGCAGTCCCCCAGGTAGACATTCAACCTCTCTTACACCTAACAGCATCCCCATATATGAAAGTCAGCACACGACCCCCTGGGACAGAATACCTGCATGTGGCCCGGGCTCTACAGCCACGCCGTCTTAGTCACCTCATCTTTTTATGGCCTTTCCTAACAAGTGGCACCTGGAAACACACTGGTAATAATGCCCACAGAGACCACTGGGCAAAGGGCCCTTCTCAGAACATAACCCAATCCCCCATGACCCTCCTTGCACCAGCTCTATGTCCAGGAGAGAAGGCGCCCCTTGCCCACTGCATGCCTGCCGCTAAAAGCCTACAAATCCACACCAGCTGGCCACTCACACAGAAAACCAGCCATACGCTTACCAAGGAAGCACAGCTCCCACCTTGCTGGGGGTACCAGGCATGTTCCCATGGCAATCTCTCCACTCCCACAATGCTGTAGAGTGCTAGTCCTCGAAACGTTTGCGTGCCCAAAGGCTTCCTGCCACGAAGAACTCCTCTCTGGGCAGAGATGACAACATCCAGTTCATCACAGATGCTGTCCTTTGCCTATTTTCCAAACGTCCCCTCCCTCCCTTCAATGTTTCCTATCAGGCTGAACCCAGCGGGAGCCAAACATAAATTGGATCTCGTTTCTCCCGTTTTAGACCCTCAGTATCTTCCCACTTCCATGATAATAGAATTCAAAGGAATCCAGCCACTACCGTGGTCTAAAAGGGCCTGCGTGAGCAGTAACCACCTCCCCCTGTGACTTCTCTCCCTCCCCTCTTCTCCCCTCTCTAGCCTCACTGGCCTCCCTTTGGTTCCAGGACTTTACAAGCTGAGTCCCACCTCAGGGCCTTTGCACAGGCTCCTCCTGGAGCTGTGAGCTCCCCTGCCTGAACTGTGCCTGCACAGCTCCTCTTCATGGTTCAGGTCTCAGCCTAAATGTCACCTACCCAGTGTGGGCCTCCATCATCACCCTAAATAAACAGGCGGCCCCTCCATGTGATTTCAGCGCTCTTTCCTCCATTCTTTCTATTTCTGTCATTACACATTTATTTGTTTAGCTTGCCCTTCCACACCCAGCAGCTGGCATTGTGCGGGGCCTATAGCACGTGCTCAAGAAATACCTGCTATTTGATGGATGAATGTCAGATTCAGAGCAAAGACTCTGGCCAGACTGTCTGGGTTCGAGTCTTGTGTGACCTTGGGCTAGTAAATGAACCTCCCTGGGCCTCAGTAGCCTCAGCTGCAAAATAGGGTGACACCAGAGCCTGCCCCAAGGGATGCTGGGAGGATTCAATGAAAGAACAAAGGTCAGGGACCATTCTCCAGCCCTAGCCCCAGCCCCAAGTCCTTGCTTCTTGGAGTCAGAGCAATGAGTATAAGGTCTGCCATGGAAAGAAAGAGCTTATAAGGTAAAAACGCGAACTGTAGAGTGTGGCTGGTACAGCCACAGAAAGGAGGGCTGGACTTGGCTTTAAAAAAAAAATCTAAAAAACTTTTTTAATAAAGGCTACAAGTCTATCTCCTTCCTTCTTTATCAACGACACGATTTATTGACCGGGGAGGCCATATTGACTAAATAAATCTTGATAATGACCACGGCAGCAATCAATACCTGCTTATTATCAGCCCCAGCCGAGAATTCCATCTCGCGGAATGCAGGCCGGACGACAGGGCGCGCCACGCGGCTCCGGGACCCAGCGGGGGCCGGGGATGGATGGCCGGGTGGTGCTCATTCTCCAGGCTGGGAGACACGCTGGGAACCGGGAGCTTTCTCTCACCTTCCCCTGACCCATGCTTCTCAGGCTTTGGGGCCCAAATCCATTTCCATGAGTTGACAGTGGCAAGGTATCTTCAGAGGTTTTTAAAAAGAACAGCAAGGGGCCGGGCGTGGTGGCTCACGCCTGCAATCCCAGCACTGTGGGAGGCCGAGGCAGGCAGATCACATGAGGTCACGAATTCAAGACCAGCCTGGCCGACGTGGTGAAACCCCGTCTCTACTGAAAATACAAAAATCAGCCAGGCGTAGTGGCACACGCTTGTAATCCCAGCTACTTAGGAGGCTGAGGCAGGCGAATTGCTTGAACCTGGGAGGCAGAGGTTGCAGTAAGCCGAGATTGCGCCACTGCACTCCAGCCTGGGCGACAGAGCCAGACTCTGTCTCAAAAAAAAATAAATAAAAATAAAGCATAAAGAGAAAAATACTGACATAGTGATTGTAGATGGGGGGACCTCGGCAGTGGCGTGAGACAGCCATCAGTCCTGGGAGGGGCAGCTTTGGCCATTAGTGAGTCCAGAGCAGGAACACGGGTGGCCAACAGCCCTGGGTCTTGGGTTCAAGTCCAGGCTGGGCCGCTTCCTGGCAATGTAGCCAGGGACTGAGCCTTCTGTGCCTCACTCTGTTCATCTGTAAAATGGGAATGGTCATCGTTTTCCCTTCATAAAGTTGCTGTGGGAATTAAAAATAAGACAATACAAAGGGCTGTGAACACTGGCTTGCATGGCAGTAAGAGTGCAGGCGCCATTTGTTAAAGAAATCCCAGGCCTGCACTGGTCTCTCCGCAAGCTGTCTTCTGAACCACAAAGCCAGGCCCAGCCTTGCTAAGCCCTGCCAAGCGGCATGCAGGGAGGCCTGACCTCCTGTCCCAAGCTTCTCTGCAAAGAGCCAGCGCACCTGGCTGCTGGCTGCTGGCTCCGGGTGGGCCGGGCTGGGAGGAAGACCCAGGTTAGATTCCTGTCCTTACAGGGTGTGGTGGGGGTTCCTGCACCTGGCTGGAGTTCAGGTGAGCTTCTCTCATCTGATACCTGAGCAGCTAATACTGCAAACGAATCTCTAGGCTCCACCCAGATTTGGGCACCACTGAGCTGAGCAGTGAGGGCCTGGAGGTGAATGACAAACAACGATGGCAATAATAATAAAGGTAATACTAGTCACTCCTGTTTACTGGGGAATGATGGTGTCCCAAGTGTGTGTTATGGGCTCTGCATCAAATCAAATATTCTCAATGTCCCTATGAGGTAGGGGCTGTGTTTCAGTCCCATTTTACAGATGAGGAAGCTGAGGCTTACAAAACTGGGGAGTTGCCGAAAGCCTCTCAGTGAGGAAGTGGCAAGACCGGGGTCTGAAGCAAGATCTGACTGCTCCGAGCCCAGCGCCCATCATTGCAGGTGCAGCTCCCAAGGCAACTGAAATTCAACAGGAAATGCCCTCCCATTTTAAGAAAGATAATAATAACAATTGCTAATAAAGATAATAAATAGCAATAATAATCACCATTAGGAAAGGCTCACAACATGCCCAGCCCTAGGCCAAGTGTCTATATGGAGCTGTCACTTTCTACTTCTCACGATCCTTGAAGAAAAGTAGTTCTACCTCCAAATGATTATGAAGTAGAAGCTTTATGAGGGCAGGACTTGGTCTGTTTTGTTCTGTGCTACACTCCCAACACCTCAGGCAGCTTGGGACACATAGCTGGGGCTGAATAATGCTCATCAAATGAATAAATGACCTGTCTCAACAAACCAGGGATGCTCCATTCTAGATAGAAAAACTGGGGCCCAGCCAAAGAAGGAAAGATGGGTCTCCCCCCGATTATAAACGAGGGGTCCCTGCGCATGGTGGGAAAGAAAGCCCTTCAACCCTGGGATCACTGTCCAGAGACCCAGGCCGCTTTCTCATGCCTGCTGGGATGATCCAGTGGGCCTGGGAATCAGTGTCAGGAATGTCAGCCGGGTCCGAGGACATTAACTGGCTGTCTTGTGTCCTGGATGACAGCCATCTCACAGGCTGTAGGGATGCTTTCAGCTCTCTATGGCTGAGGCCACCAAATCATCGCTTATGGCCTGCAGCCTTCCAGCAATTAATAAATAGATATACTAATTAGATGGGAGCTGCCTCCCAGGTTGGAACTGAGGTCACCCTAAGGCGAGACTGATGGAGCTAAAGGTAAACAAACCCTCATTCGCCACAGGCCTGAGGCCGGTGCCCAATTCCCAGCAACTTTCAAGAGCCAGTGAGGGGTGTAGCAGCCAAGGGTCCCCCAAGACTGCCCCTCAAGGTGAAGTCGAGGGGCAACTGCCCCCTACCTCATCCCTCCTGTGGATTCAGCCACCCATCAATCAAATATTTATTGAGCACTTACTATGTCCCTGCCCTCCCCAGAGAGGGAGGCAGACAGTAAACAAATGAACAAATAAATACACAAATAAATATTATCACATCAGGTGAGGCAGAGTGAGGAGAGGGGAGCTGATTTGGAAAGAGAAGTCAAGGAGGACTTCTCTGAGGAGGTGGTATTCAAGCAAAGGACCAAACTAACTGAAGGGAGGTGTTTGGAAATTGTCTCAGAGAGAGGGAACAGTAAGTGCCAAAACCCTGAAGCTGGGACCTGCTTGGCTTGTTTGAGGCACAGCAAGGAGGCCACAGGGGCTTGAATAAAGAGGGGGAGAATGACAGGGGACGGGAGGGGGATAGGATGAGGGGATCCTAAAACCTGAGGGCAAGTAAGGACAGGCAACCAGGAAAGAGACAGTGCTGGGAGTGACAGCTCCCCAGCCTCCCCCAAGACATGACAGCGACCTCAACGGAGCGTCTCCTACACCCTGAGAGCCTTATGCAGATGTCCCAATCCCATTTCTTCTTTCCTGTGGGACAAGAAACAGACTTGAAGGCAGGGTCATATGGCAAAGAGATTTGTAAGGGTCAACACCTGCACCTGCCGGAGGGAGCCAGTGTGAAGGAGAGAGGACAGAAGGACAGGAGGAAGGTTGTTTGGTTGACGGAAGCTCCTAGACTACCATGGAGTTAGCAGAGGGGTCCCGTGTGTCCCAGGTACGAGTCTGTGCCAGAATTTCTGCTGCACTCTGCCCCTGGCTGGGCCAGCTATGGGATGGATTTCCAGCGCAGCACGGGTCCTATCACGCTCCCTGAAGTCGAAGATGGGCAAGATGCATTCTCATGGAATGCCCTTTCTCCTACTACCATTTCTGTCTCGTGAGTATGTACAGGGCAACTAGGATTCAAATCCTAGCTCTACTTCTTTCTTCCTAGATATGTGTCCTTGGGCAACTTATTTCCCCTTTCAGAGGCATAGTCTTCTCATCTGGAAGATGGGTATAGCAATGGTACCTCCCGGAGTGCTGGGATTACAGGCGTGAGCCACCGCGCCTGGCTAATTCTTGTATTTTTAGTAGGGAAGGGGTTTCACCATGTTGGCCAGGCTGGTCTCAAATGCCTGACCTCAAATTATCTGCCCGCCTCATCCTCCCAAAGTGCTGGGATTACAGGCATGAGCCACCGCACCCGGCCACCATGCAGTGTCGTATTATATCCTCCATCCCTACTCCTCATTGGCAGGTGGCAAAAGTGAGAATGAGACAGGCCCAGTAACCTGCTCAGAATCTTCTCCCGGCCATACTGCTTTCTTCAGTTCCTTGGAGGCACAATTCTTCCACCCTTCTCGGGGTCTCTGCAAATGCTGTTCCCTCTTCTGAGATGCTTTTCCCTAACCTTGTCCTTGAGATCTCAACAGAAGGGTCATTTCTTCCAGGAAGCATCCCCTGAGGTCCAGACCCAGGCAATTCCTTTGCCATATACTGTCTCGGAATCTACTCCCCTTGCCCGTCTGTGAAATGGCATGTGCATCCACTCGTCCCATGGCCTGTGGGCTCTGAGAGAGCTGGCACCTTGCCTTCCTTGCTTACTATATCATCTTTAATATGTAATTATTAGTTATTGTATTTGTTTTTTATATATAATTATTTATACCGTAAGTGGTGAATGTACAGTTCTGGAGTGAAGGATAACAGCAATTATTATTCACTTTAACATTATATCATGTTTCAATGTGCTGGGCATGGATCTCAGCGCTTCATATGCATTAACTCACTTAATCCTCAAAACAGGCTGGGCACGGTGGCTCACACCTGTAATCCCAGCACTTTGAGAGGTTGAGTTGGGAGAATCACTTGAGCTTAGGAGTTCGAGACTAGCCTGGGTAGCATGGTGAGACCTCCACTTCTACGTTAAAAAAAAAAAAAAAAGCCAGGCGTGGTGGCGGTGCACCTATAATCCCAGCTACTTGGGAGGCTGAGATGGGAGGATCATCTGAGCCTAGAAGGTTGAGGCTGCAGTGAGCCCTGATGGCACCGTTGCACTCCAGCCTGGGTGACAGACTGAGACCTCGTCTCAAAAAAATAATAATAAAAGTCCTCACAACAATTCTTAAGGAGGTGGCTACTACTATTATCCCCATTTTATATATGAGAAAAGTGAGGCTCAGAAAGGTTAATTGACTCATCCAAGGTCACACAGCTGGTAAGTGGCAGAGCTGGGATTTGAACCGAGGCCTGCTGGCTCCAGAGTCCAGGTAGTCTTTGGGGGTGGAGGGTGTAGGGCTTGATTCCGCAGCTCACACCACATCCCCTGGGACACCCGCACCCATAGACACTCGTAGCAGATGACAGACACTCACAGGCATCTGTAGCAGCAAGGCCTAGGAGTGATGGCCCCACTCAGGGAAATCTGCCCTGGACTGGCGGCCCCTGTGACCCCTGTGGTCTCCGGATCCGCAACACCCACAGTCCACACCGGCGGCTGGGCAAGTCAATCGACCATAATGGTTCCCCGGGAGCCATTTACCCCGTCCAGCTTGAGCGACGGCGGCTCACAGAGTCTTAAGCACCGTTGGGCCCCCCAGCGTCTCTGGGCAGACGACCAGCTCAGGCCAAAGAGGCCGAAGGATTGATTTCTTTCTTTCTTTCTTTGTTTTTAATGGCAAATGCATATCCTGGAACTGCTGTTTCATTGGGCTGAACTGAAGACTGGCAGAGGCTGGGGTGTGCTCCGGAGGGGTTTCGGGGGACAGCCACAGGCCCACTTTTGGGGGTGTGGGCTCCTGGGAAGAAGCAGAGACAGCAGGCTCTGAACCCTACTAACCGGGTATCTTCATGCATTGGTCAGGAGCCTTTCATTTGTTCTGGAAATGCAGCCTCTTCTGGAACTAGGCACTGGGAAGGTGCGGCCTGTGGCCTTGAACTACAGAGAAGACCCTCCTCAGGACTCCGACAGCTGGCCTGACCCACTGAGGACCCCTGGCACAGGGCCCTGGCACTGGGTGTTCCCTCTGCCTGGAAATGTCCCTCCCAGGTCTCCACTCCCCTTCTCCATTGGACCTGCCCACAGTGGCCAGAGCTCCTGATTTTCAGGGGACACTGGTCACCTAGATTTCTTAGGTAAATCTCTTGTGTTTTAAATGCTGACAACTTACACAAAAGTGTTTTTAAATATCTCACTAATCTAGACAGACACATCCATGGGCCAGACATAGCTCCCCGTCTGCAATTTCTGTGGTCAGAACTCCCAAAATATACTACATATAATATTAGTACAATACTAATATAGTAACCCCAAAGGAGTAAGAGAGAAGAGAAAACTTGCTCAGAAATCTCTAAAACAGCCTGCAAGGCCAGCAAGTTCCAGCCGCTGCTGTTTATTTGGTTTTCTCCTCTCATACTCTAAAAATACCAATGACAATAGGAAGTCACTCAGATTCACAGGGCAGCAACTGTGTGCCCCACACTGTGCTAAACACTTTCATGTTCAAAGTGGTTTGATCTTCCTGAACAACCTAGAAGGCGGAGACTATTATTAGTCCCATTTAAAGACAAAGAAAGTAAGGCTTGGAGAGGTTAAGTGACTCATCCAAGGTCACACAGCTAGTAGGTGATGGAGCCAGGATTTGAAGCCAGGCAGGGGCCTCTCACTGCTCTGACTCTTCATGCTTCTCTCTGGAGGGAAAGGGTCAAGAACAAGTTTTGGGAACTGAGTTTGATCCACTTTAATACTCTTAACTGAAAAGTTAAAATTTCAGCCATGCCACAGCCTATATATGACAGCCATGACATAGACCAGTAGACCCAGGGCAGGCAAACTACAGCTCTCAGGCCAAAACCGGCCCCCTGCCTGTTTGTATAAATAAAGTTTTATTGGAACACAGCCACGTCCATTCATTCTCATTGTGGCTGTTTCATGCTAATGGCAGAGTGGAGGCTTATGGTCCACGAAGCCCAGTGTATTATTATCCAACTCTATAGAAAAAGGTTGGCCCCATCTGATGGTAAACCTAGCATGTGTAGAGAGAGACCATACCCTGAGAGGGTTCTATGGTCAAAACCCTCTGGGGTGTCCTTAGCAATATGGGAGCACATCTGCATATTACAGTGGGGAAACAGTGGTGGAAGCTTCTTTAGTTTTCTTTAGGCTGAGTGGTCACGACATTTGGGCTCAGAATGAAAGAGATGAAGGAGCCAACCACAGAGAGATGGGAGGGAAAGGGTCGCAGGCAGAGGAAAGCATACATGCAAAGGCCCTGAGGTGGGGACATGCTTGATGTGTTTGTGGGACAAAGAGAAGGCCGCTGCGGTACAGTGGTTGGAGAGGGAGCCAGAGAGATTGAGAGAATGGGGCAGATCCTGGGGGATCTGTCAGGGAAAAAAAATTTGAATTTTAATCTAAACATGATAGGAGTATATTTTTTTCCGTTTTTTTTTTTTAAACAGGGTCTTGCTCAGTTGCTCAGGCTGGAGTGCAATGGTATGATCATAGCTCAGTGCAGCCTCCACCTCCTGGGCTCAAGCAATCCTCCCACCTCAGCCTCCTGAGTATCTGGGACTGCAGGCAGGTGCCACCATGTCCAGCTAATTTTTTTATTTTTTGTAGAGAAGGGGTATCACTATGTTGCCCAGGCTGGTCTCAAACTCCTGGCCTCAAGCAATCCTCCCACCTCAGCCTGCCAAAGTGCTGGGATTATAGGCATGAGCCACCTCGCCTGGGCCATGATAGGAATATAATGTCTACATCCTCCAAAACACTACAAGCCATTTTGGTGAAGGGCTCACTGAGGCTTAGAAACCAAATAACTCCATCCTAGACATAATTTTTTGTTTCAAAAATATTGCTTAAAAGGTCAATAGCCCCACCACCACGACCATGATGGAGAAAGAAGGGGAGGGGCCCAAGGTCATCACACTTGTAATCCCAGCACTTTAAGAGGCCGAGGCTGGTGGATCATTTGAGGTCAGGACTTCAAGACCAGCCTGGTCAACACTGCAAAACCCCGTCTCTACTAAAAATACAAAAATTAGCCAGGCGTGGTGGCATGCGCCTATAGTTCCAACTACTTGGGAATCACGTGAACCCGGGAGGCGGAGGTTGCAGTGAGCTGAGATTGCACCACTGCACTCCAGCCTGGGTGGCAGAGCGAGACTCCATCTTGAAAAAACAAAAAAGAAGAAGACAATGCATTTAAGTGACCCACAAAGGTGTCAGCATCCTTCACCTTTACAATAACTCGTACAGCAAAGTTGGGCACAGCCAGCTGACTTCAAGGGTTAAGAAGCAGGAGACTTGGGATGTGGGATGATTCACCCAGGAGCACTAAAGGCCACACAGAATACAGTTCTTGGGGTCCTTCCCCCCTGCCAACCTCTACCATCCCTGACACCCTCCAGTATATGACACCATCATAAATAATGAGCACCCCCAGAGGAAAAATATCAAACAGAAGATGGGACCCTGAATCCCAAGGCCAGGAACAAAGGCAGGTCACCACCTGAGTCCCCTTCCAATGCTTCACCTCTGCCAGGCCCGGCCTTTGAATTAGATAGCCAGGAAGCCACCGGAAATTCAGCCCTTTCAGAAGCAGCACAGAAAACCACAGTTTCTGGGCAGCCTTGTCTACCATCATCCAGGACCATATATTTAGCACTAGCCAAGGTGCTCACGTTTGAAATCCCATCTGCCGGAAGAAAGGTTACCATGACAGAATGTCAAGTTCGAAGATAGAATCCTCTTTTTAACAGGAGAGTTTAAAAAAAAAAATAAGGAAAAAAGTAAAAGAAAGAAAAACCACCACCACCATCAGAAAAGCTGTTCCCTCTGGTCAAAATAGCACCGTGCTCATCTGAAATAACCCACCGAGACACTTATTTGCTTCTTTTAGCTGGTCCGTGGTTTCTCCATTTTCTACAGTGAATTCAAGTATTAATAAAAGAAATTTCAAGACCCCCAACAGTAAAACCAGTGAGGGATGAGATGTTGCTTGTTTTTTCTTCTAGCATTCAAAGAGAGAGCCCGTTTTTGAGAAGCAATCTCTGTCAAGTTGAGAAACTACAATTTTGGGAGACCCAGAAAAGGCTGCTGGGTTCTTTAAATAAATTCTCAACACCTGTTTCTAGCTCTTTCTGCAGAAAAGGGCCACAGGGTGTGGGTTCTACGGACTTGGAGAGGCAGAGGGAATGGGGTCACCCACTGGCTGGAGTTAGAAGAGAGTCCAAGGGTTTGTCTTATTCTCAGAGCTGTCTTCACCTAATGCCAACCCCTCTCAGGGGGCTGAGCCATGCCAAGCTCTGCGGGCTCACGCTCCCCACCTCGGCTGCAATTGGACCTCGGCAGCAATTCTATTATGGTGAAGTTTCCAAAGTTAGGATTCCGCCAACAGGGCTGATAGCTTATTTACTGCTGTCATCTATAGAAAGAGGAATTTTGACACATTGTTAAATGATAGCACATTTAGATAAGTCAAGCTGTCAGAGGCTCTAATGGATGTCTAAACTCTCTGTGGCTGATATGTAAAATTTATGCACTTCAGAATATCATAAGGTTATAATATTTTAATCACATCCCTGCTCTTTTCTAAACTTTGAGCAGGGGAAAATATTCCATCAAGCACCATCTTGCTCTCCTGCGCCAGGAGATTGAGTGTTCCCGGAAGTTTCTCCAAACTCCTTGGAAAAGTCCGGCCTCTCTTTGCTCATCCTGTTGATCTTTCTCCCAACTGCTGACACCCGAAGCAGAATTTGCCCCTTCCTCCCAGATTAGTACTATGTAATCCTATTGACCAAGCTCCTTTCTCCCCAGAAACACAGATGGGCATTTGGACCGAGGACCCTCATTTGGACTGGGTGCCCCCCAGCTCATTGTTAGCTCAATTAACCCTCTTTGGAGTCAGGGAAGACAGCATGGGAGACTGGACCCAGAGCATGGTAAAAAAAAAAAGTAGAAAGTTAAGCAGAAAAAGAAAATCATAAAGGTATGAATCCGGTTACGACGATTATACACAGAAAAGCCATAAAAAAATACTGCATTAGTAATGTTCACCATAAAGCAATCTTATAACCAAATGAAATATGCCTAGCATTATCTTTGGATGGAATTTTATTTCTTCTCGTTTCCTGAGCTGCTAGCAGCAAAGGCAAAAAAGAAGCAAAGACGGGGGGAGGTAGTTTCAGGAGTGCCGGAGTAGGGTGGCACATGTCAGATCACCTTTACCATCGGCCCAAAGTCATTAAGGTTGTTGACTGACTTCCAGCCTAGGAAAACAGCCCTGCTGTGTACAGAGACGGCGCTGGAAGGAATAATAACTGGAACGCTTCCATTTTTGAAAAATATACGTTTCCGGAGGGCTGGACACCGGGCTGGTACAAGGTCACCTTTCTTGCCAGGATCGGTATGGCGTCAGCGACGTGGTATGGCCTGGGGACACGGGGCCGCCCATGTTGCCTCGGCCACTTTAATGCTCAGCAACCACGCTGCGAGAAACCATTCAACCTGAACAGCCAGGAATGAAAGCCACGCACCTCCTCACATCACAGGCAGCTCAGCCTCGGGACGCGGGACCCCGGCTCTCCGGCTGCCTGGGGCTGGGCACGGGGACCTGCCTCTCCTACCTGGATCTCAGAAAAAGCCGGCAGAAGTTCTCCTTTCTGGCTATCTCCCCTATAAGAGGAAAGTAGGGGAGGGGCAAAAAATGAAAATAAAAGTGTGTCGTAGGAGTCACTGGCATTATGTACAAGAGAGGATCCCAGGCCAAAGTGCTTAGGCTCCTAATCCACTTCCAACAAAAATGCCATCAGTGAGGATATGGGGTGGGGTGGGGGTGGGGGGCTGCGGGCCTGTTGGCCAGGGGACCAGCTGAAGATTTCAGGCTGGGGGTGGGGAACGCGGCAGATGGAGGGCCAAAATGTTTGCACGCGGCCACGGCTGCCACGTTTATTTCTTTGCTTTCTAGAAGTGTGCTGCCTTGCAAACTCCCACAGGGACACCCCCTCCACTTAATATCGATGTAAATGAGTTTACCCCCCTTCCCTGAGAGCCTTCTCCTGTGTGCCAGACACACTAGCCATTGTTTTAACGAACAACCCCCCCCTTCACATATACACCCTGTAGGCTGGGAGGTCTGGGTCCTATCTCCCCATCACCTGAACAAACCCCTCCACCACCCCCTACCTTTATCCTTTCCAGTTCAAATTTGCTTTCCATCTATGCATCTTCTAAAACCCTAACAAAGGGTTCCCAGATTAATGGGCGTCCAGCTGGAATCAAGATTTGGGTGACCTCAACCGTTCCACAAAAGACCCCTTGGGTAGAAGACTGAAGACAGTGAGGTTCCAACCTCCCTAGTTCAGACATTAGCCCCCTGGGAGCCGCACCCTCCCCTCAGCACCCAGCCCCTGCCTCTCCCCGGGCTGCAGCCCGAGCTCCCCGGATTGAAAACGAGTTATCTAATGAAAATTGTGTTAACTGACATTCCGGCCGACCGGGAGCAAATACCAGCGCTGTAAATCTCGCCGCGGAAATTTTCTCCAGCCCAGAATAACAATAGGACCCTGCAAAGGGCTTTCGCCAGCCCTTCTGGTTCCTCTCCTCTTGTGTGCCACGTTCTTGTCATTCCTTATGTTACAGAACATCAATCATAAATAAAGACGCTGTCCCCCAGCCGTGCCCGGGTCTCATTTACAAACATTAGCAGGGAATACGATTACCATTGGCCTTCGTGCCAAGCCCAATGTGGCTGCCCAATTCTCCCTCTCTCTCTCTCTCTCTGCCTCCATAACCCCCACTCTTCCAGAAAGGCCACTTTAGCATCATTTAAGCCGGCAGGCACAGCTCGCAGCCCTGCCCGTCTCAGTTGGCCACCAAACTGTAGCCCCAACTCGAGTGCGGACCCGGAATTGCAAGGCACTCGGCAGTTATTAACTGCATGCCTCAGTGCCCCGATTTTCTCCCCAGCTCAATGGCTTTGGGGGAGGGGGAGAGCGAGGAGTGGGGCGTTCGGAAGGACGGGGACTGGGAAGCGGCCAGGACGGGGAGAAGGCGCGGGTGCTGGAACCACTTATCAGAAGAAACTTAACGAGATTTGCCGGCGGATTAAAAAAAAAAAAAAAAGTGGGTCCCTTTTTATCTCCAGACTGATGATCTCGCGTCTTCCGCGAATGTCACGGTCAAGGCAGGATGCTCTAACCGCCCTGTTATCCGCACCATTTTCCCGCCCCTGATCCCCGCCGCACCCGCCGAGACTTTGCGAGACTCCAAGGCTGGGGGGCCTTGCCAGGCGCGTCCGGGGCACTCCGGGAAAGAACAGAGGCCGGAGCCGCGCCTCCACGGTGCGTTCTCTGAGATTCCACCTCCCAGCCCCGGCTCCTACGGGGTCCGCAGAGAACACCTCCAAATCTAGGGGAGGCACACAGACTCCCACAAAGGGAGGATGGGGAGAAAGTGATGGGGTTTCGAAGAGTCGCCCTAGGGAAGGAGAGAGAAAGAGCAGGGAAGAGAGGAAAGAAACAGAAGAAAAGCAGAGACGGGAGAGAGGAGACGAGGGGAGCAGCGGGGAGAAACGCAGGAGGCAGAACAAGCAAGGAAATCTCTCATTTAAAAGTTCCCTTGGGCCCGAGGGCTGGGAGTCACCTGCTCTGCGCCGCTCCCGGCTCTCCACCGCCCTGGAGGCAGGAGCGCAAACTTGCGAGCGCCCGGGCCCACCTCCACCGCCCGTCTGCATCTAGACTTGGGAAGGGGATGGAAGGGGCGGGGGGGTAAAGGCAAGAAGCAAGACGAACCCCAAGACCCCGGCCCGAGGAGAAGAGGTCTGCCGGCGCTTGCGGCCAGTCCGGCGGCGGCGGCTCTGGCGGCGGCGGCGGCGGCCCCCGGGTGGCGGCGCGTCCGGGCTGCGCAGCCAGGCGGGCGGCGAAGGCTGAGGTGCCGGCGAGCGGCGGGGCGCGGAGCCGCCTCCTCGCCAACCCCGGCTCCCTCCTCCTCTCTCCTCCTCCTCCTCCTCTCCTCCTCCTCCTCCCTGCCCGCCAGCTCCCTCCCTCCCTCGCCGGAGCCCCAGCCGGGTGCGGACTGGCAAGCGGCGCGCTCCGCGGCCTCCCCGGGCGCCGCGAAGTTGGGAGGCGCGCAAAGTGCGGCTCAGGGGGGACCGCCGGGGGTTCCCGCCAGCAGCCCCCTGCCCGAGGCCGTAGCCCCTGCCTTCCCCGCTCCTCGCCCGGCCGCCTGGCCGCTCGGCCGCTCCGCCGACCGAGGGCTCACTAGCGCTTCTCCATGGTCGCGGCAGCTAATCGATGACTGAACCGAACAAAGAGCAGCGGCGAGATCAATTCCTAATACCTATCGATGGGCAGCGGGCGGCCGAGCCCCGGCGAGCCCCGGCAGCCGCCGCCCGCCGCCCCAGGGCGTCCGCCTGCCCGCCCGGGGACCTCCCCAATGCGCCCAGGGCGCGCCCGGGGGCTCCTCACGGCCGCGCGGCCGGCGCTGCCCGCACTAACCTGGAGTCGCCGTAGATCAAATCGCTTCCAATATTGAAACATCGATCCCACATTGGCGGCCATCTTGGGGGCTATCGAGACGCGCACACACAAGAGTTTGGCTTTTCTCAATGGCTGCACTCAATATCCGGGCTGGACTCCCCCCAGCCCCGGGGCCGCCGCCGGCCGCCCGGGCCCTGAGCGCCGCGGCCCGGGGCCCCTCGGGCGCCCTCCGGCCTCCTGCCACCCGCTGCCCCTCGCCGCCGCCGCGCCGCCGCCGCCGCCGCCGCCAACGGGCCCGGGAGCCGTGCGCCCCCCCGACCCCCGGAGGGCGCGGGCGGAGCGCGCCGGGCGGGGAGCTCGGCGCCCGCCCGGGGGAGGCAGCCGGGGATGGGGTGGGAGGGGAGGGGTTGGGGGGAGGCAGCCTCTCCGAGAGGCGCCGGCGCCGCCGCTGCCCTGCCTGCCGCCGGCTCCCGGGCCCGCGGAGCGCTCGCTGCATCTCCCCCCCAAGTCCGGGGTCGGTGTGCCGCGCGATTGCACTTGACTTTGGCTTTTTGCAAACTTATCAATACTGACGTAACGTGCTGATCAATGCAAAGGGAAGTTTGGGAGGGGGCGCTGCGGGAGGCGGGCGCGCGGGGCGCCTACCCCCGCTTGCACCTGTCTACCCCCAGCTCCCGGCATTGCACGCTTAAAAAAAAGTTAATAGTTTGAAATGCATTTTTTTTTCTTTTGCAATCGGAGCACACACAACACGTGCCTCGGGCTGCCGCCGCTCCATCGCCAGATATGCTTGGGATCCGAGGGTCGCAGCCAGCACTTGGGGCTGCGTAGACGCGCCGGCCGGAGGGAGGGTGGGAGCCGCCCGGGGGCGCCACTGAGTCGTGGGAAATGTCACCACCACCGCCCACAGTTTCCGCGCCATTATATTATTATTATTGGCGGGGAGGGGGGCTTCGTCTGAGTAGTAGCTCAGGGTTCTTTACGGGCGGGGGCCGAGGGCGGGGCCTCAGGTCCTTTGGAATAGGGATTTCTGTTGTTATTATCTGGGGGGTCTTTAACCCAATTATAGGGACTCCCCCACAGCTTTGCAAGGTGAAACCCTTTTACTGTGATGATGATTATTGGAGGTTTTGTTATTTGGTTCTGAACCAAACCTCTGGAGGGCCTTTTCCCCCAGTGGGCTTGTTTTATTGTTATGACTGTTGAGGGTGCCCTACCCCTGCTGTGGGGGCTCCGGATCCTTAAAAACCTCGGAGGTTTCTGCTGTTGTTATCATCATTATTATCCGGGGCTCCGTTCTTTGCAACATGACATTCCTTTATTGTGATTGTCTTTGGGGAGAGGGTCTTCAGCATGGCTAGAGGGAGGTTCCGGTCCTTTGCAATTCTTCGGACTCTTGACAACCGGGGTGACTGGATTTCTTGTTTTACATTTTTCTGTCTGCTTTTTTGTTTGTTTGTTTGTTTGTTTGTTTGTTTGTTTTTGCCTCTGTGCAAGCTCGAGGTCCTCTGTTTCCACTTCCCCTGGAGGTGAGATGTCACCTCCAGGGGGAACTCATACTCCCAGCCCCCTCCATCACCAACCCCCTTGCCTATCCCTGCCACCACCCTTAAAGGTGAGGTCACCCTTCCTCTCTGGCTTATTCCCCTGATACATAGCACCGCACCCTCTTCCCCACTCAAAAAAAGGGGACATGTTTTTCCTTTTTCTCTGATCAAAAGATTTGCTTTTATGGACAGCAAATGGAAATTATATTCTTTTTATGACCCAGCCTAGACTTCTGACATCACTCTTGGTCTGGGACAATAGATCAATACAGTGGGTTATAAAAAAGATAAAGTTTAGAAGAGTTATAAAGAAGAGAGAATCATGATGGATATTTTTGATGATTTTCCAATATTTGTGTCTCAGAGCACGTGCTTTGAGGCAATTAAAGTTTTTAATGTAATGTAAATAATTGTTTCATAAATGCTTCGGAAGAAGGTGTGATCTTTCTGAGCAATCATTTGAGCTGTTTAAAAAATGAAATGTGATTTAAACAAGGATACAGTATTTCTGTTTCCATTCCCATACATTTTCCATGAGGTCTGGGTAAATATATTAATGCAGGAGTTGAAAGACGCGTAAGACCAAAAGTACTGCATTCACCGAGATGTAATGAATTAGGCCTAGTTAGCAATTCCGAGTGGCCTGTTTCCCTGCCAGATTAAATTGCACGTGATGTGTGGTTTATCTCAGCTCTCGATAACTTCAGGTTTAAATTACAGCTCTCATTCTGCAAAATGAATTTAGGGAAATTTCATAACTATCACATTACAATTTTTTAAATGGCTACATTTTTCTCCTGAGCATCTGTAAAGCTTGTGGCTTCCTTGTCTTTGGGTCTGCTTTTTAAAGTCCTACTAGAGTGCGTGTGAAACCCTTCCAAGCAATGTTTAACAAGCCAAGGGTTTGATGAAGAAAATTATTTTAAACTTATGTGTGATTTTGCAGGAACAGGACGCACTGACATCGTGTACCTCCTGATATGTTGTGCTTGAAGGACAGATCACTTCTGTGGTATTCCTGCCAAAGAGGTATAATCTAAATCTAATTGTGAAGAAATATCAGACAACCCCAAATGGAGGGGAAAATTCTACAAAATAAACAGCCTGTTCACTTCAAAAACATCAGTGGCACATGAAACACACAATAATGGAGGAACTATTTCCAATTAAAGGAAACTAAAGAGACTTGACAAGTGATTATAACGTACGATCCTGGATTTTCTTTTACTATAAAGTGGATGAATTAGAACCAATGACAAATTTAAAATAAAGTCAATAGATCAGATAATAGTGTTATATCGATGTTAATTTCCTGATTTTGACTATTATACTGTGGCTATGTAACAAAATATCCTTGTTTTTAGAGAACACACTGAAGTATTTAGGGATAAAGGGACAGACATCATGTCTCCAACTCTCAAGCAATGCAGATGAAAATAATATGTACCTATTTATTTATCTATATATGTCTACCTAGACACAGTGATAAAGCAATGTTGCAAAATGTTAACATTTGAAGATTCTAGGTGACTAGTACACAGAAATTCCTTCTACTTTCTTGGCAAGATTTCTAGGAATCTGAAAGTGCATTAAAAGAAAAAAATAGATAAATCTAGGTCTGACTTTGTTTCACCTGTTAGGGACTACTGGCTTCCAAATAAAAATTCGGCACAGGACTTTCTACTTTCCTGACTGAAGTAGGCTGCACCTTTGACCCAGCAGGAAATTGCCACAGCAAACATGCTTACCGACGAGCAGCGAGAAAATCCAATAATTCAGATTGTTTTAAGTCTGTGATATTTTTACATGACTTAATGCAGTGGGTCTCTGAAGAATTCCAACAATTTTAATGGTAGAAACTTGTAGTCCCACAGAGGAATGGGTTGCTACATAAATACTGAATGATCGTGTCTTTCTGTCTGGGCTGAAACATATTAGCTTTGCCTAGTGGCTTATTGCTTTATTCACAAAATAAATTTCAGCCGTCTCTCCCCACCATATTCCAACTGCATCGTGTGCCTGTGCTTATTAGATGTGGGGGCTTCTACTCCAAAGGCATCTGTAACCATCTCAGACTTAGCAATAATGAATTGAGCAGATAAGTGTTTACCCCCAAACAGAATTAGCTGGGGAAATATTATGGGTGGTCCTTAATGAAGGATAATAAGCCAGGAAATTCAGACTTTGTCAGCAGACAATGGCCTTAGATTTAAGAACTAAAGCACTAACGTTTTAAATATTTTTGTGAAAAGCTGTTTTTCATGGTCTTAGCACACCCTCTGCCACAAACACACACACACGTACATAGATAAGGCAAAAACTTAAACAGGTTCCAGATTAATTCCTGATTCCCAAAGACTCACACATCAAGATGAGTATTAAAAAATTACTGTAGAAAAGAAAGTACCTCCCCTCCCCCAGAGGAATCAGAGGGCAGCTTGGGGCAGCCTATCCTAACAGCAGAAGCAGGCAGAGAGCCGGGATCCTTTAGGAAATTCACTAACTGTGCAAGAATCCCGGGGAAGATAATGGCAGGTCCTTAGCCACATACATAATGATATGCGAAATCCCCAGGATCAAAGCTGAAACAAAAGAAAATGTCCTTCGGTAGCTCCGCGTTGCCCACTGCAGCTGCCAGGCAGGGAGAAAAACAACTACAGAATCTGAATTCATCTGAAAGTATTAAACAGCACTAGGAGTAAGGGGTATGGGACTGTCTGGTGGACACCTGCAGGGTGTGTTCCTGGAGGCTGGCCCGTGGTTAGGTCCAGGATTCTGTGGCTAGAGTGACCTGCTACAAGGTCCAATCCTGGCACGATGCTGTCAACAACTGCCATTAGTAAACACCTCCTGGTTGTTGGATGCTTTATAAATAAACCACTAGCATAACACAGTGGCTAGGTGCATAGTGGTTAGGAGCCTAGAACATAGTGGTTAACAGCCATCTGGAGCCAGATTGTCTGGGTGTGAATTTCAACTCTGCCACTTACAAGCTCTGTGACCTTGGGCAAGTTATTTTACCTCTCTGTGCCTCATTTTCATCATGTATGCAATGGCTCTAATAATTGCGCCATTGCATACATGTGATGAGGATTAAATTAGTTAATCCATGTAAAGCACTGTGTAAATGTGCAGCATCTACTAGATCTCATTATTATTGGCCTCACAATGGACTGGGCAGGGATTGGTATTCCCATATTGCAGATGCAAAGACTGAGGCCTGGAGAGAAGTGGTTGGCTCATGGTCACATGGTTGTAAAGGGGCAAAACCAGGGTTACTACCTGGGTTCACTCACAGCAAGTTGGAGCTCTTTGCACTTGAGGCTGTTCTGCCTTTCGTGGAGGGGGAGAATGGGTGCAAAAGCAGATTCCCAGAAAGCAAAGGCTGCGGCCTGAGCCATGTGCCGATGCCCAGTGGCCAATGCTCCGTGGAGAGAAATAACACAAGAAGGACAGGCTCCCTTGACCTGATTCCCCTCCAATGCCAGGGACTAGTTAAATAAGCAATCTTGTATTCAAGCTGTGTTGGTCATTCTCCTTTTTCTCTTCTCTTGCACCATTCTCCACCTGCTCAGTGCCCAGGAAGCTGACCTCTGTGGACCACATTTCCCAGGCTTCCTTGCTCTCTGGCTTTCACTTGGGTTTGGCTAGTGGGAGGCCCTGGTAGGAAATAAGAAGGCAGGAGGAGAGAAGGTTGGGGTGCTCATTCCCCAGCTCCCTCCCTACTTTGCTGCCATTTTGGCTGTGACTGGGTCCTTCTACAGACGCAGTCCTTGTCAAGCTGTCCCTCTCCTGCTCTCACTGGGTCCCAGCAACTGCTCCCTCTTCCTCCTGCTTCAGGTCCGGGATGGAAATGGCTTTCCCCTGTTGCTGGCACCTGGTGGCCTCAACATTCCTCTGCCCACACCTCTTCAGATGGTCTCCTCATTTAAAAATCCCAGCCAAGGCTGGACACGGTGGCTCACACCTGTAATCCCAGCACTTTGGAAGGCCGAGGCAGATGAATCACTGGAGGTCAGGAGTTCAAGACCAGCCTGGCCAACATGGTGAAATCCTGTGTCTACTAAAAATACAAAAATTAGCTGGACGTGGTGGCAGGTACCTGTAAGCCCAGCTACTTGGGAGTCTAAGACAGGAGAATCACTTGAACCTGGGAAGTAGAGGTTGCAGTGAGCCGAGATCTCACCACTGCAATCCAGCCTGGGTGACAGAGCAAGACTCCATCTCAAAAAAAACAAAAAACAAAAAAATCCCAGCTGAGTGTCCCTGCTGGGGCCCTGACTGACCCCTACCACGGAACGCAATTCAATTGTTAAGAAAGTGAGGGCTATTTATATATGTTGAGGCATATATTTATATGTGTCTATGATATACGGTAAAGTAAACATAAGCAGGTTATAGAACAGCATTATGGAATAATCTCTTTCCTTAAAATGTGGTGCTTTGGGAAAAGTCAACAAAACTAGATATCAAATGGTTAACAGATATTAGTTCTGGAAAATGGGCTTACAGGCCCTTATCATTTCTTTTTTGTCACTGTTGCTTTTGTTTGTTTGTTTGTTTTGAGGCAGAGTCTTGCTCTGTTGCCCAGCCTGGAGTGCAGTGGTGCAAACATAGTTCATTGCAGCCTCAACCTCTTGG
The DNA here is from genome assembly GCF_000001405.40 of Homo sapiens. Classification (NCBI taxonomy): domain Eukaryota; kingdom Metazoa; phylum Chordata; class Mammalia; order Primates; family Hominidae; genus Homo; species Homo sapiens. The sequence continues at coordinate 111,028,070 of NC_000012.12, read as the reverse complement.
GCTCAAGAGATCCTCCCACTTCAGCTCCTGAAGTAGCTGGGACTATAGGTGCACATCACCATGTCCAGCTAATTTTTTACTTTATGTAGAGATGGGGTCTCTCTGTGACTCCAGCCATGTTGCCCAGGAGGTCTCAAACTCCTGGACTCAAGTGACCCTCCCATCTCAGCCTCCCACAGTGCTGGGATTACAGCCATGAGCCACCATGCCTGGATAATTTCTACATCATCATTTTAAGCTTTTTTATGAGCACAAATTTATTTTTTCATCAGGAATCTTCATTTGGTTGTGGGAGGGGTGGGGGTCTGTTTCTTCCTGGGACCCTGACTCATACACATACCACACCCACCTGAGATGTCTATAAAAGAAGAGCTGACTGAACAGCGAGATTCCCTGTTCATGGGCTGGAAGAATTAACAGGATGATGTCATTTCTCCTCAAATTAATTCATACATTTAAGGCAATTCCAATGAAAACCTCAATAAGAGTTTTCATGAAACGTGACAAGCCCATCTCAAAAATTCTTACAAAGATGCAAGGGTCAAGAACAGCCGAGGCAAGTTTGAGGAGTAACAAGATAGGAGAATCATTCCTATAAGAGAAGAAGACTTCTTATAAAGCTGTAATAACAGAGAGCAAGTAAGACACATTGACCCAGGGGACAAAATCAAAAGCCCAGAAACAGACTCATACAAATTTAGAACCAATACATGAGTAGATGGCAGAGCTGGCATAATAAACTAGTGGGGAAAGGATAGATTTCATTTTCAGTATGATGCTGGACCAGCTGGCTACCCATATGGGAAAAATACAATTAGATCTCTACCTCACACCATACACCAAGATCAACCCCAGGTGGAGATGTCGGCACACCATGAATTTGAAGAAATTCAACTAGTTCCTTTTTTCCAACAGCACAGAACATTGGAATGGAAGGATCATATTGTGATTAATCTGACTTCACTATACTATGTTTGTCTGCCTGTCTGTCTGTCTGTTTTAAAGCATCCTAATAGCTCTGGTCATGTAATAGCCCAGGATTCTTTCCCGAACTGGATTGTGGCCAGAACAAGGACTGAATTTTCTTTGAGTACCCCCGGAATGAAATGCCACTTGACAGCTGGCAGCTTCCAGGAGGTTTAGAGACACTTGCTCACCAAAGGTCAAATGTTCTAGAGGCCCCTGCTCTGTACAGCTCTTCCTTGGGCACACAACGTGCGAGCCTCTGAGAAGCTGGCCCCAGGGCAAGCACCTGCCTTCCAGGTCTGCCTTCCTATTTTAGCAGCCCAGTGCGTAAGTGAGACAGTGACTGAAGTCCTCAGAAACAATCACTGTGGAATTCCGGGCACCCATTTGACCCTCCATCTCACCCAGATCCCATTCTTCTGGCTTGGGCAGTGGCCCATTCCTCCATCAGCATCCAGAACTGTGGGCTCCCAAAGGCAACATCAGCCTTGTCTGTACTCTGCGAAGAACTGAGCCCTCCAGCACACCCCTTCACCCACCCAAACAAAACTCCACAATCGGGGCCCCCAAAGCCTCAATGAAGACTGCAGACTATTGCTACAGGTTTTCTTAAGGGCAAGGCATGGAGGGCTTACCGCCTTCAGATCCTCTTTGCTTCTTTCTCTCCCCTAAGTCCCCGTCATTAAAGCAGCCTCTCCAGGCTCTATTTTTAATTTCTCTCCCTACAAACAGCTCATTCGTCTTCTCTCTCTCATCGCTCACTCTCCAATTCTCCAGCTCCTTCTCCTCTTCTCCCTCTTCCTTTGTTCTTCTTCCTCCTTGGGCTCACATTTCTCCTCCCTCTTCTTCAAATCGGAGGTTCTCACATTTAGTCTCATCAGCAAAACATGGGCCTGGAGCCAAGCAAAAAAAGAAAGAAAGAATTCTTTTATTCCTTTGGTAAGCCAGGGATATGTGGATGCTTACATTTTCTCTGTCCCTCTCCACGATCATCATCATTGTCATCGTCATCATTGTTGTCATAATGGTGCCTACTATGCACTGAGGCCATCCCCAGCATTCTCCCCAAATCTCACATTGAGCATGCCTGTGTCCATTTTACAGATAAGTAAACTGAGGCTCAGAGAGGTGGAATAGCCCACCTGAGTTCACTCAGCAGGACGATGGCTGAGCACAATTTAGAAGCTGGTCAGGAAAACGTGCACCCTTTGGCAGCCCTGCTACAAAAGCCTGCTCTTCTCCTCCTCCCACCCTCCCTTCCTGCCCTGTTTAAGCTTCTGCTGCCAGTGCTCAGGGCAGGAGAGAAGCAGGGATAAAGATGCCATTCAGACAAATTGGAGCCAACGGGGGCAGGTGTTGGGGGGGGCACAAGTGGGAGGGGAGAAGGAACATGTCTGCTGCCCTGGCAGCCAGTCCCTGCCTTTCCACTCCCTCAATCCCCTTGGAACTTCTGGATTCTCAGCTCTTGGCTTCCGCAAACCAAAAACTGATCCACTTGGCCTCATGGGGCTGGGCTCGCTCTCCCCGTCATCTAATTTCCTTCCCTGACAGCATTTGGAGGTAAGCGTGGCTGTTTCCTCCCTTTAATAGCTGAGGAAATGGGGGATCAGAGAGGGTGAGTGACTTGTCCGAGGTCACCCAGCCTGTGAGCAACAAAGGCAGGGGTCAAAGCCTGTTCTCTTTGATGCCAAGGCTCCAGTTCTTGACTTTTAATGCCACCCCTTCCCTTTCTCGACTACCTCTAACTCCTTCGTGGGACCTTACATTTACTGCACAGCTGGTGAGGGGCTGAGTCAGGCCTGGAAGTCAGAGCCAATCCCCTCTTGCGGCCACAGATTCGGGCCACATTCCCCAGAGCTCTGAGCATCCAGGAGGAAGGTTCAAAGCTCTTCTCTGAAGGGTGAGTCTCCATCCCTCACACTGCAGAAACCTCTGAGTACTAAAGAATTCAGCATCTGGGGGAGCAAAATCCCCCCATTCAGTCACTCCCTAACCCAGGAAGCACATCCAGCCCCTCTTGCCACGCTGCCTGACCCAGGAAACACATCCAGCCCCTCTTGCCACACTCCTTGACCCACGAAGCACAACCAGCCCCGCTGCCACACTCCCTGACCCGGGAAGCACATCCAGCCCCTTGTGCCATGACTCTTCTTGCTCCAAGTCCTTGGCATCCATCAGGGTCTCTGGCAAATGTACCAGGCATTGGGGACCTCAAGAGGTCATTGGTTCCATCCCCTTGCCTCCATTTTTGGAGCCTAAGAAAGAGACTCTAAAATGAACCTCAGCACCCAAGGTCAGGGTCTAATCTGCCACCCATGTGCCCACACCCTTTTCTGCACACACTCACATATGTACATATTTGCACATATGTGCACACACAGATGCACAGATAGACATCTGCACATGCTCCTGTCTACACTTGCTCACACCTGCACTCACCTATTCTGCACTGCTCACATGTATTCATGTTTGCACATAAATGAACACACACATGCACACACACCTGCATGTCCCATGCACATCTTTTCATGCACATTTGCACACGAGCCAGAAACAGGTTTTCTGAGACATGGCTGTGTGCTCACACACACGTTTGCACAGCTTGCGTGTGCACACGAGTGAGTATCCTGCCAAGATACAGGCAGGAGGGTATGTCCAGTTGTACCTTCCCTTCCCTGGGTGGGGCAGCCTGGCCTCTCCTGGGGCTTCCCGGAGCCTGGCCTTTGGCAAAAGCCCCACCTGGTGGACACTCGGTGTATACGCCAAGCCTGGGCGCCCTTGGGACCTGAATGAGGGCTCTGGGCAGCCCCCAACCTGACTGGTGATAACTGAGGGAGCCCAAAGCTAGACTTGGGGGCACCCCTACCCACTTAAAGCTTCCTTCTCTCCTCCTATCTTTTCCTTTCCCCAAGCAGCAATTTCCTTGCCCAAGACAAAAAAGAGGATCAGATCCAGAGGCAGGGGTTTGAGTCGCTGCTCTGTCACTCGCTGGCTTCTCCCAGGCCCCATCCACCGAGCTGTAAAATGGGTGTAAAGTTCTCAAACAGATATTCAGAGGAAGGAGATAACACCAGAACGCAAAGCAATTGCTATGTATCTCAGGACAGAGCCTAGGACGAGTCTGAAGTCAGACCCAAGCCCAAATGAGGATGCAAACCCCAGCTGTGCCTCTTCCTTGGTGTGTGACCCTGGGTGAGTCACTCCACCTGCCTGAACCTGTTTCTTCAGCTGTAAAGTGGGTCAAAACCCCCAAAAGGGTGGTTGGAAGAAACCATCAACATCGTGGAAGCGAAGTCTGTTTCCCTCCTCCTTCCTCCCAAACCAAACACAAGAATGCTTAGGGACTGCAAGAAGCAGGTCTGGAATCACAGCAACCAGGTTTGAACTCTGATTTGAATCCTACCTCTGCCACTTTGTAGTTGTGACCTTGGGCAAGTTGCTTTACCTCTCTCCAACTCCTGGCCTCAAGCCATCCTCCCCGCTGAGCCTTTCAAAGTGCTGGATTCAGGCATGAGCCACTCCACCTGGCCATCACTCCACCTTTATGAACCTCAGTTTCCCAGTCTGGTTAATGGGGACCTCCTAGTGTTGTGACAATAAGACAATGCATGCGAAGAGCCTGGCAACCACAGGTGCCCCCTGAATGCAGGCTGCATGATCAGCATCGATGTTTGGGGGAAATGAGTGATACTTGGAGGCCTGGGTGGAGCTGACCCTTAGGAGCCCAATATAATACTTACATCATTCAAATCAATTATAATTAATCACTATGTGCTAGGCACTGATCTAAGCACCAAGAATTAATTCATATAACTTCATAACGACCCCACAGGTAGGCACTTTTATTACTATTTTTGAGACAGGTCTCACTCTGTTGCCTAGGCTAGAGTGCACTGGTACAATCACAGCTCACTGCAGCCTCGAACTCCTGGGCTCAAGCGATCCTCCCGTCTCAGCCTCCTGAGCAGCCAAGACTATAGGTATGTGTGCCACCATATCCAGCTAATTTTTTTTTTTTTAAGAGATGGAGTCTCACTATGTTGCCCAGGCTGGTCTCAAACTCCCTGGCTCAAGCGATCCTCCCACCTGGGCCTCTCAAAGTGCTAGGATTACACGTAGGAGCTACCACACCCAGCCAGCACTTTTATTATTATCCCCATTTTACAGATGAGGACACTGAAGGCACAGAGGGGAAGTAACTTGTCCAGGGTCATGGAGCTAGACAGTGAATTAAAATCCAGACAGGCTAACTCCAGAGCCCTCTGGATTTCTCCCTTTTCCTACTCCCACCGAGCTGTCATAACTGCTTGGACCTCCCAGCCTCCCCCAGGTCTAGAAGCTTCTCTAGGAGCTGAAGTCTGTTTTAGAGGGCAAGTCCTCCACCACAAGAAGCCCCAGCAGGCCTACACTTCCTTCCAATCTCCAGGGGCCACATGGCCACATAAGCATCATGTGTCTCCTGGGGACTATGGAATTAAGATAATCTCAGGGAAGTAATAAACATGATGGAAATGATGCTCATGAAAGAGCATCTGCTAATCCTGGGAGCCCGTGTCAGAAAACTTGCATCTGCTAGATGTTGCTAAGTAGTGTGAAGGTTGGGGGAAACCTGGCTGGTGGGGCCTCGCCCCACTGCTGAAGCAACGCCATGGGGCAGAGGGACAGATGGCGGCCCAGACAAGAAGCTATTAGAAAAGAGAGATTCTGCAAGGGAAAGTGTGCACCCCACACTTTAGTTAAAAGTCAATGGAAAATGACTGCCCGATGATGCCAGCAATAGAGGGGTCAACTTTCAATGTGGCAGGGGGTGGTGCAGGAGCTACTGGCTTTGAATCCTGATTCTGCGACTACCTGGCTGCGTCTAAGTCCGGTTGCTTAACCTCTCTGGACATCAGCTTAATTTGGACGCGGTGGCTCATGTCTGTAATCCCAGCACTTTGGGAGGCCAAGGTGGGTGGATCACTTGAGGTCAGGAGTTGGAGACCAGCCTGACCAACATGGCGAAACCCCATCTCTACCAAAAATATAAAAAATTAGCCGGGCATGATGGTGGGCGCTTGTAATCCCAGCTACTCAGGAGGCTGAAGCAGGAGAATCGCTTGAACTTGGGAGATGGAGGTTGCAGTGAGCCGAGATTGTGCCACTGCACTCCAGCCTGGGTGACAGAGTGAGACCTTGTTCAAGGAAAAAAAAAAAAGAAAGAAAATGAGAATAATAATACCTGCCTGTGGTAGATGGTGTCACTGGCACCAGTTCTTCCCCTTCCCTCTCTGTGTGCCCAATGCCAGATGACTTCGAATGACCTTCCCACTGTGGGTGAGGGTGATTTTCCTGCCTCTTGATCTTGAACTTGGCAATGTGAGCTGCTTTGGCACACAGAACGAGGCAGAAGTGTTGGTCTGCTGGTTCTGAGCCCACGTCTCAAGAAATGTTGTGTGCTTCATTTGTTTTTTGGGCCATGGCCTTTGCCATGGAAAGAACATTTTTGGGCTAGCCCACTGGTCCCAGGAGAAGGCTGCAAGACCTAAGGGTAGGGAGGAGGCAGGGTTTCTGAATGGCAGGTTGGGGGAAGCCTCTGGCACCCAGAAACACCTGCTGAGGACTGGTCCGTGGCTAAGAAACCAACATCTCACGCACTGAGTCTCTATGCTGTGGGTCCTACTTGTAACTGCAGCAGATGGATCTATAGCCATCCCCCTGGAAGCTGGACCCAGCACCCCTTCCTGAGCCAATCCTGTGGCTTTGCCAACCTGGATGAACCCCTGAGGTCACACAGCCTGGGCACCATGGGACTTTGTGCTTTCAGCTGCTGTAGCCCCCTGACCTAAGACTATGGGCTCCTTGCAATTAGCTGTGGGTTCCCATTGAGTCCACCCTTAGGCCATCCAACTGCCTTGAGGGGACCCACTCTGGCCCAGGAATGAGGTTCCCTGGTGCTCCTGCCAGTCTTCCTGGTGGCCTGCGCCACTTTGTGTTCTGCAGTCCCAGCAGGTCTTACGCACAGCTAGCCAGAGTCATGATACCATGTGTCCTCGGACAAGCCACTGCCGTCTAGCACCTCCCAGGCCTCGTTTTTCTTATTTTACATCTGTGAAAGGGGAGTGACGCTCTCTGCATGACTCAACTTTGTCAGCATGAAGATTCATCACTTTGGAAAGATGAGTCCTCCCGAGTGCTAAGGGGTCGTGAGAGCCGCCGTCCAATCTTACTTCAAGGGGCATCACTGAGATAAGTAGAGGAGAATCCCAGATCTTTGCCCAGCTTCTCCTTAACCCTCTCCCTGCTTCCTCCTTTGCGTGAAGGTCTTGAATGTCAGCTTCTTTGCCAAGCTCACGATGACAAAGAAATAAAGATGTACATAGCCCCACTGGCGCTGGAAAAAGATTCCTTTTTTTTTTTTTTTTTTTTTTGAGACAGGGTGTCCCTCTGTCACCCAAGCTGGAATGCAGTGGCACGATCATAGGTCACTGCAACCTCGACCTCCAAGACTCAAGCCATCCTCCCACCTCAGCCTCTCAAGCAGCTGGAACTACAAGTGCTTGCCACCACACCCAGCTAATTTTTTTTTGGTAGAGAGAGTCTCACTATGTTGCCCAGGCTGGCCTCCAACTCCTGGGCTCTGGAGATCTTCCCGCCTCGGCCTCCCAAAGTGCTGAAATTACAGGCATGACCCATCATGCTCAGCCAAAACATCCCTTTCTAGAACTGCATGTGACAGCCATGAATGGGCATTTCACAGAGGAGGAAACTCAGATGGCCAATAAGTACAGGAAAAGCTGCTCAGCCTCTCTGATAATTAGGAAAGCTTCAAAATAAAACCAAAATGAGGTATCCCACTCACCAGATTGGCCAAAATGTTAATGCCTGGTAAGAACAAGTGTTGGCAAGGATGTGGAACAACTGGAGCCCTCATACACTCTAGGGGCAGGAGGTGGGTCTAACTAGTACAACCACCTTAGAACACAATCCAGCTACATCCAGTGAAGCAGATAACATGCATGCTGTATGTTCCAGCGATCTACTCCTAGGAATATTCCCAGCAGAGACTCTTGTACCAGGACAGGACGCAAATGATTTGTATCTTTATATAAGATTGTTTATAAAAGATTGTTCACAACAGTTATTAAAAAGAGGGGCTAGATGTGGTGGCTCATGCCTGTAATGCCAGCACTCTGGAAGGTTGAGGCAGGTGGATCACATGAGCCCAGGAGTTCAAGACCAGCCTGGCAACATGACAAAACCCCATCTCTACCAAATATATATATACAAAAATTAGCTAGGCATGGTAGTGTGCATCTCTAGTCCCAGCTACTTGGGTGGCTGAGGAGGGAGGGTCACTTGAGCCTGGAAGGTTGAGGCTGCCTTGAGCCGTGATCATGCCACTGCACTTGTGCCTGGACGACAGAGCAAGATCCTGTCACCAAAAACAAAAGGAAAAAGGTAGTCACCAAATGCCCATCAGCAGTAGACTGGATAAATAAATTGTACAGTATTTACACAATAGAATTCTATAAGTGGGAAAAATAAATGAATCAGAGCTACATAAGTCAACATGGATGATTCTCACACAGTCACGCTGAGTGAAAAAAACGAGGGACTGAAAAACACAAATAATAGAATATTATGTATATGAACTTTTAAAACAGGCAATACTCTGCTATATATTGTTTCAGGACACATTCACAAGTCTCAATAAAACATTAATTCAGGCTGGGCGCGGTGGCTCACGTCTGTAATCCTGGCACTTTAGGAGGCTGAGGTGGGCAGATCACCTGAGGTCAGGAGTTTGAGAACAGCCTGGCCAACGTGGTGAAACCCTGTCTCTACTAAAAATACAAAATTAGCCAGGTGTGGTGGCACGTGCCTGTAATCCCAGCTACTCGGGAGGCTGAGGCAGGAGAATCACTTGAATCTGGGATGGGGAGTTGGAGTGAGCCGAGATCATGCCATTGCACTCCAGCCTGGGCAAAAAAAAAGCAAAACTCCATCTCAAAAACAAACAAACAAACAAACAAACAAACAAAAAACCCAACAACAACAACAAAAAACTGGCCGGGCTCGGTGGGTCACGACTGAAATCCCAGCACTTTGAGAGGCCAAGGCAGGCGGATCACGAGGTCAGGAGATCGAGATCATCCTGTCTAACACGGTGAAAACCCGTCTCTATTAAATAAATTTAAAAAAAAAATTAGCCGGGCATGCTGGCACGTGCCTGTAGTCCCAGCTACTCAGGAGGCTGAGGCAGGAGAATTGCTTGAATCTGGGGGGCAGAGGGTGCAGTGAGCGGAGATCGCGCCACTGCACTCCAGCCTGGCGACAGAGCGAGACTCTGTCTCGAAAAAACAAACAAAACAAACAAACAAACAAACAAAAAACCACATTAATTCATAGGGATAATAAGCCCCAAATTCAAGATAGAGATAATCTGGTCAGGTGAGGAAGGACTGAACTTGGGGAGCGATAGGTAGAGGGGTGTTAGCTGGTCATCTTGTATTTTTTTAAGCTGGGTTGCAGGTGTACAGATGCTGTAATGTTGTTCTTCACCTCTTCTCATATCTGCAATAGATCAAAATAAATTTTGCAACAGGGAAGTGGAGTATTGTTTGGTTTGAGGGACATGTAAGGACTAAACATCCTCTCTGCCACTTAGTGTGTGACCCTGGGGGCTCTTTGTTTTTCTGGACTTCAGTTTCCTTGCTGGGCAACTGTGAAGGTCTGAAATCATCTAGTGAATGGATTTGGTGCAGAGTAAGTGCATGACAGTTGTTGAAGATGACTACTGATCATTTGGGTAAGTTCCAATCTTCATGTCCCCCTCCCTCCCTCCCTCCCTCCCTCCCTCCCTCCCTTCCTTCCTTCCTTCCTTCCTTCCTTCCTTCCCTCCATCCTTCCTTCCTTCCTCTCTTTCTCTCTCCCTCCCTCCCTTCCTTCCTCTCTTTCTCTTTGCCTCCCTCCCTTCTTTCCTACTCTTGACAGGGTCTTGCTCTGTTACCCATGCTGGAGAACAGCAGTATGATCATAACTCATTGCAGCCTTGAACTCCTTGGCTAAAGCAATCCTCCTGCCTCAGCCTCCCAAGTGCCTGAGACTACAGGTGCATGTCACCATACCAAGCTAATATTTTTTGTAGAGGTGGGGTCTTGCTATCCTGCCCAGGCTGGTCTCTAACTCATGGCCTCAAGCATTCCTCCTGCCTCAGCCTCCGAAAACGCTGGGATTTCAGGCATGAGCACCATGCCCAGCCTCATGTCAGTTTTCTTAAAGCAAGGTGTCTAGGGGTACCCAAGAAAATGAGAATTGTGGAGGGTAAGGGAGAGGCAGCTATCCTCTTGGCGTTTACTTCTATGGTGATGCCTGTGCTGAAAAGAGATGAGGTCTTGCCCATCAGCATCTCCTAGAAGAAGACCCAGTGGACACAATGAGTGGGCTCCAGACGTGGATTCCCGGACACTTTCAGATACACCCAATCCAACCAGAACATATTTCTATGAGCCCATTGCAAGAGGCCAGTGGGTCTGCAAAAATATGTTCATGGTGCAAGGTCCAGAGGAGCTTATGATTTGTTCCCTCCATCAGCCAACAGGTAATTCATCAAACCCACTTTGTGCTTGGTGTTGGAGACACAACAATGACGACGTCTCAAGAGTTACTATCCTTTTGGCTATCACAGTCCAAAAGACATGAAACTGCCTTGGGTGAGAGACAGTTCGAGGATAACATGGCACAATATAGCCTGGAATGGAGCACTGATGTCACAGAATTCTGCATGAATTCTGCATAGTAGGCACTCAGAAAATACCTCTTAAGTCCGGATGCGGTGACTCACACCTGTAATCCCAGCACTTCGGGAGGCTGAGGCAGGTGGATCACCTGAGGTCGGGAGTTCAAGACCAGCCTGTCCAACATGGCAAAACCCCGTCTCTACTAAAAATACAAAAATTAGCTGGGCATGGTGGCACATGCCTGTAATCCCAGCTACTTGGGAACCTGAGGTAGGAGAATCACTTGAATCAGGGAATGGGAGGTTGCAGTGAGCCGAGATCGTGCCACTGCACTCCAGCCTTGGTGACAGAGTGAGACTCTGTCTCAAAAAAAAAAAAGGAAAAAAATTGTTAAAAAAAAAAAAAAAAAAGGAAAGAAGGAAGGATGAGAGAGAGAAGAAGAGAAGGGAGGGAGGAAAGACAGAGGTAAAAGAGAGAGGGAGGAGGGAGGAAGGGAAGGAGGGAAAAGATGGTATTTGTAGACAGTCAAGGTAGGAAAAAGGAGAGCTTGGGTTGGAGTTACAAGGAAGGTTCCTTGGAGAAAGTAGGATTTGTGTGCATCAGACTTTTCCTGGCCTCCTCAGTAACAATCCCCAAACCACAGAGGCTTAAGACAACAAATGTATGTTTCTTGTTCCTGTTATGTGTCCACTGTGGGTCAGCTTAGGGCTCTGCCCAAGCACCCTCACTCAGGCACCCAGGACGATGGAGCCTCTATCCCTTGGGAGTCATGGTGGGACAAATGGAAACACAGCACCTCGTAAAGCATTGTCTCGTACAGCCTTCCATGGTTAACATCACATTGGTCTAAGCAGGGGATGCCAGGCTTGGCATCTCTCAAATCCTCTTCTGTCTATGCTGGAAGCTCTGCTCTTCTTAATCAAGGAAAAATGCATAGACGGCCTTAGGTAGAGAAATTGTTAGGATGCCAACAAATCTGTAGCCTCATCCTGGAGTCCCACAGATATTGGTGAGAAAGTCCTTGTCCTCGAAGAAGAGAGTGCTGAGAGAAGGGACAATCTGGGGGAAGGAGCAGGTTGCAGCATCTTGGGGGCTGTCCAGGTCTGAAAGACAGGGCTACCAAGACTCTCCTTGGGGAAAGATGTGCCAGACAGACTTTGCATGTATGGGGACACCTGGTTTCTGGCTCCATGGGTATTAGGTACACATCTCAGTTCACAGACAAGGTGTACAAGAGACAGTGGGTCTCCTTATATTCTTTTTTGTTTTTTGTTTTTTTGAGACAGGGTCTCGCTCTATTGCTCAGGCTGGAGTGCAATGGTGCGATCTCAACTCACTGCAACCTCCGCCTCCTGGGTTCAAACTATCCTTTCACCTCAGTCTCCCAGGTAGCTGGGGATACCAGTGCGTGCCACCATGCCCAGCTAATTTTTGTATTTTTAGCAGAGACAGGGTTTCACCATGTTGGCCAGACTGGTCTCAAACTCTTGACCTCAAGTGATCCACCCGCCTTGGCCTCCCAGAGTACTGGGATTACAGGCATGAGCCACCATGCCCGACCTCCTTATGTTCTTTAAGCCAATTTAATTTCCACTTCAAACCCCATCCACACCTCAAATGGAAGATGGGCAATTTGACAGCAGCTGTTCTTACATTCCTCCTCTGGCCCTATTTCAAATGTCTCTCAATCTTTCTGATCATTCCCAAAGTGCAAGTTTCAGTTAGATGCTAGTGCATCTGTAACTTGAAAAAAGAAATCTCTCTTTTAAATAGAGAGAGAGCAGGTTACAGGCTCAGTCCCTCTGGCAGGCAAAAATGTAATTCATTACTCTCAACATATTTATTTATAAGTATCTCCTTTCTATTTAGGGCAAGAGATGCCAGTTTTCTACTTAGAGTGGTGATAGGAAGTTTCCTTTTACAAATACACTTATTTAAGTAAAAAGTGAGCCAAGTTAGAGAAAAAATATTTAAAAAATAATAACATAGATGATACATGGATATGGCAAAATTTGAGAATGTGGGTGGCAAGGATTGAAGGATTCTATTGGGTACTGACCTTGGCTTTGACATTAGATGTGCCAAGTTTAAATCCAGGCCACACTCGCTATACAAACTTGGGCAAGCTACTGACCCTATCTGAGTCTCAGTTTCCTCATCTGTGAATTGGAGATGATAATAAAATTAATCAAACTTCCATAACTCACTTCATCTAAACTCTTTGGGACAAGATGTATTTTGGAGTTCAGAATTCTTCAGAGGTTTGGAATACTGTATACTGAGTGTTAGTTACACGCAGGATCTGGGCAGCACCCTGTGACCAAGCACATTGATATTTCTGCAGCAAATGGATGGCTGTTCATATTAAGTGTTTTTGTTTTGTTTTGTTTTGTTTTTTAAGTCTATACATTCTACAAGTCCTGGTCAGACTTTTCAGTCAAATGAACTTGCCACGTAAACTTGAAAATAAAACCTTTCGAATTCCAAAGCTTTGGGGATTTTGAAATTGCAGACAAGGGACTATGGACCTACACCAGCTTCATAGGAGGTTAGGTCGGGGGTGCACAAGACTAAATGAGCTAGAAACATCCAGCATACCCAGCACAGGATATGCATTCCATCAGGCTCATGCAGCACCAAGGCAGAGGGAGCAGGGAGAGGCCAGAGCCCAGAGGAAGGGATTAGAGAAAGCAAGGGATGCCATCCATGGATTGCGGATTATAAGAGCTTCCCAGATTTCTGAGAAAGCGCCTCCTCCGAGCTGACCCTGCCTCTCCTCTTCTTCTTTCTTCCTCTTTCTTCTTCTTCCTCCTCTTCTTCCTTCTTCCCCCTTTCTTCTTCTTCTTCTTCTTTTTTTTTTTTTTCAGTTGGAGTCTCACTCTGTCACCCAGGCTGGAGTGCAGTGGTGCAATCTCTGCTCACTGAAACCTCTGCCTACCTGGCTCAAATGATTCTCCTGCCTCAGCCTCCCGAGTAGCTGGGATTATTGGTGGGTGCCACCACACCTGGCTAATTTTTGTATTTTTAGTAGAGATGGGGTTTCATCATGTTGGCCAGGTGGATCTCGAGCTCCTGACCCCTCATGATCTGCTCCCCTTGGCCTCCCAAAATGCTGGGATTACAGGCATGAGCCACCATGCCCGGATCCCTCTTTCTTCTTATTCCCCCTCTTCTTCTTCCATCTTCATTCTGCAGCAGGCAGTCCTATCCAACTGCTTGATTTTGAGTACCCCCAGTAGTAGACCCCAAGATTAGCACTCAAATGCAAGTACAGTCATGTGTCACTAAACAATGGGGATACATTCTGAGAAATGCGTGGTTAGGTAATGACATAGCACGGACATCATGGAGTGTCCTTACACAAACCCAGATGGTCTAGCCTATACACATCTAGGCCATACGGTTTAGCCTATTGCTCCTAGGCTACAAACCTGCACAGAATAGTGCTGTATGGAATACCATAGCCAACTGCAATACAGTAGTAAGAATCTGTGCATCGAAATATATCTACACATAGAAAAGGTAATGCATTGGGCTACAATGTGATGATGGCTATCATGTCACTGAGTGATAGGAATTTTTCATTTCCATTATAACATCATGGGACAACTGTGGTATATGTGGTACAACATTGACTGAAATGTTGTTATATGGTGCATGACTGTAGGGCAGAGACACAGAGCAATGGGGAAGTGAGACAGGGAAGGGAAGGAAGCCCATTAAAAAATGACTTATCAACTTGGTTGCCTATGGTTTAATCCACCAGGAAATGCTGTAGACAAAGTAACACACGCCCTCAGCCTTATCCTGTCTGAGGAGTGAGGGAGCTGGGGTATTTACACACCAACAGCCATCAGTCATTGCCAAGGGGTACCACCAAGGGGCATACCTTCCCTGGCTCTTCCAGATTCCTGTGTGGGTGGGCAAGGTGAGCTACCGCAGCCAGGGAAACCCTTCTGCCAGTGACATGTAGGTGCTAGCAGTTGGCAGTCAGAAGGCTTGTCCTGAAATGAGATGATAAGCAAACAGGGGTGGGGTACTGATGGGGCCTGTTACATTAACCTCACAACCATGCTCCCCATATTCCTTGCTGGCACATTCTCAATTTTGTGGGCATGTCCATCTGCCCAAAATCCTGACTCAGAGGAAGCTGAGGATGACTCTCCCCAATTTCAGAGCTAAATCTTGATTAATCTAAAGTCTAAACCAATTACGATGCCTGCATTACCCTTGTTGGTGATTGGTCTAGGCCTGGACATGTGACTGTTTTAGCCAATGAGATGTGAGGGAAGGTCTGCAGAGGTGCTTCTAGCGAAGGTTTACTGTGGATGCTTCTGTGTCCAGGTGTTGATACCTGGTGCTGGGGCAGCCACTTTGGGGCCATTAGGGGAAGCAGGCCAAGGTTAAAGGCCACACAGAGAGAGTTGATATCACATAGCCACTGATCACCCAAACCTGAGTTCGCCTACGTCTGCACTTCTTGTGTAAGATTAAGATAATCTATTCTATTTTTAGCCTGTTTGAGTTGGAATTATCTCTTATAGTAAAAGGACATTATTTTGGATATTAAAGGAAACTATAAATCAGCTAGCAACCTAGCTGAGATGTTGGATCTTAAAGACTTTAACATGAGAGAGGGGACACTAGAGGCAGGCAGGAAGGGGACAGTGAGAGAGCTGGCTGGGCTGGATGAAAAGGAGGGTTTCAGGAAGGAGGTTGGAGTGAAAGTCATTAACAAATTCCTGGTTCCATTTCTGTATTCTCAGTGGAGAGCAAATGATTTCAGCTCAAGCCCAGGGCCCTCCAATTTCTTTCCAGGATCCTTCACATCTCCTCCACCAGGAAAGAAAGCTGGACTGCGCAGGTCGGGAAGATTCCGGGGAGATGCACAGCCTTTGCGTTCTGGGCTCATCTGGCCTTCAACGTGTGATTTTGAGAGTTGGAAGCGAGAAGATTATAACTCAGAATGGCACGCGGGTGTGAAGCCGGCTGCCTTGCCAGCTATTTGCCTGTATTTAAAACACATATGGGTGATATTTTTAAATATCTTTGCTGTGTGATTGAAAAACATTGCAGTTGCTACTTCGTGGACGTGGGTTTTTATGCAAACCCAGGGACGGAATGATGAGTGTATGTTGTACCTACGTGGGCTTTGCTGGAGAGAATGCAAGGACAGAATGCACAGCCTGCAGAAATGTCGGGCAGAGAATTGGGGCTGGGCCATTCAACATGTAACTTGGGTATAGGGGCGGCTGGCACAAGTGCCTTGGTTTTCTCTGAGGTCTGTCTCTCCCTGCTCTCTGTTCTTGGGGTTTGGATGGGGCTCCTCCAATGTCCCTAGGAGTGGGCATGTGACCCAGGTTTGGCCAATCAGGTCATTCAAACCCATTTGCCCCAGCAATTGGTTGTTGGGGGGAGCTCATGCCCCAAGGCAAGCCTATGAGACACAACCCTGGACTTTCAGGAGCTACTGGCATGGAGGCACTTTCCTCTTGTAAAGTGGCTGGTTGATACCTAAAATGGTACCTGAAACTGCCAAATACCAACTTTGTCCCCATTTGGAGAGAGCCTGCTGAGAATAAAGCCAAGGTGGGGGAATAAGGAGCCTGAGAGATGGAGAGAATCCTGGATCCAGCCATGCCTGAAATCCAAAAATCTCCTTCCTTCCTTCCTTCCTTCCTTCCTTCCTTCCTTCCTTTCTTCCTCTCTCTTTTCTTTTCCTTCCTCCTCCTTTCCTTTTAAAATCATGGTAAATTATCTATAACATAAAATTCGCATTTCAACCATTTTTAAATGTACAGCTCTACCTCCTTTGTGAATCCTTACCATCTTGCCCAGCCAGCCCTCTCACTGCTTGCCCATAGTGTCCTCTCCCTTGTATTAAAGTCTTTAAAATTGCTGTCTCTTTGCCTGCTGCCATCCGTGTAAGACGTGACTTGCTCTTCCTTGCCTTCCACCATGACTGTGAGGCTCCCCCAGCCACGTGGAGCTAACAGAACAAACCCCAGTGCTGTCATCTCCTGGCTGTCTCCTTTGATCTGGTCCCTGCCCACCTTCCCACATCCCACTCTGATTCCTTTGATGCAAATATCTGATGTCATGTGGGCATTCGATTCTAAAATGTGAGTGTGAAGGAGATTGGGAGTGTGGCTACTATGCTACTCAGAAATGCTCTTAGCCTTTAGAGAATCGATCACTATTTTGAAATGTCATAATATTCAGAAAGGGAAAAGTTAGACTGGGTCTACTGTGATGAGGACACATCTTCAAGAAGAGTCTCATGTTGCATCATCCTCAGCTTCTCATGAGGTGTTGTTGGTTGTGTTGTTCTTGGTTATTCCATAAAATCTTAGGGTCTTGTAAAAAAAAAAATCCAACTTTGCTTAGAAGTGAGCTTATAACTTGAGACTTCCTCCATTTTCTCACTTTCCAGATTTATAGTTTCTTTTAATATCCAGAATAAGACCCTTCTACATAAGAGAGAGTTGTATAATACATTTAAATGTTCAACGCATTAATGGCATTCGCAAGGTTGTGCAACAAAAATCACTATTTCTAAAATTTTTTATCACCCCAAACAGAAACTCTGTACTCTTTAAGCAATACTTCCCCTTCTACCCCAGGACTTTTTTTATTTTTAATTAATTAATTAATTATTTTTATTTTTATTTTTTTGAGATAAGTCTTGCTCTGTTGCCCAGGCTGGAGTGCAGTGGCTCAATCTCAGCTCATTGCAACCTCCACCTCCCGGGTTCAAGTGATTCTCCTGCCTCAGTCTCCTGAGTAGCTGGGAATACAGGCATGCACCACCATGCCCAGCTAAATTTTTGTATTTTCAATAGACATGGCGTTTTACCATGTTGGCCAGGCTGATCTCAAACTCCTGACCTCAAGTGATTCACCTGCCTCTGCCTCCCAAAGTGCTGGGATTACGGGCATGAGCCACCACACCTGGCCTATTTTTATTTTTTAAAGTATAACATACACATACAGTAAAATTCTCCCTTTTTACTGTGCATTTGGACAAACACATACAGTTGTGTAACCAGCACCACAATCCAGATACAGAACAGTTCTATCCCCTGACCTCACATTCCTTGGTTCTTTGTAATCTGCTCTCCTACTCCCCACCACCCTGCAGCCCCTGGCAACCACTGATCTGTTTCCTGTTTGTAAAGTTCTGTCTTTTCCAGATTGTCATATAAATGAAATCATGCACTACGCAGCCTTTTGAGTCTGGCTTCTTCCTCTTAGCAAAATGCATTTGAGGTTCATGTTGTTGACATTCGGTAGTTTATTCTTTTTCATTACTGGATAATAATAGCCCAGTGTATGAATGTGCTACAGTATATTCACCATGTACCAGTGGAGGGCCATTTGTCTACTTCTGTACTCTGAATTTACTTCTGCCCTAAATTCCTTTTTTATTTCTCAAGCTGTTTGAGTCAGGTTTCTGTTACTTGCAACCAAATAATCTTGACAAGATATTGGAGAAAGCTACTTTCCTTCTCTGAAATTATTTATTTCATCTATAAAATGAGAGCATATTGCTCAAGACAGTTTTGATTGTAAGTAACAGAAATCTAGACTCAAAATTGGTTTAAGTGAGAGGGACAACTATGATCTCACATAACGGGGATCCTGCAAGTGGAGCAGATCTCAAGGTGGGTGACTTTGTGGTTCAACCATGTCACCCCAGTTGCAGGCACGTTCCATCTCTTTGTTTTGCCATCTTCAGGGTTTCTTCCTCAGGACAAAGCAAGATGGTGGCAATGGTTCCACTGGGACATGGCAATGGTTCCACTGGGACAAAGTTCACAGAGGTTTTCTCATAGATCTTGGGAGGCTTCTAGAAACCACACCCAGCAAATTTTTCCTCATATCCCTTTGGCCAGTGATATGGTTTGGCTGGGTCCTCACCCAAATCTCATCTTGAATTGTAGCTCCCATAATTCCCACATGTTGTGGGAGGGACCCAGTGGGAGCTAATTAAATCGTGGGGGTGGTTTCCCCCATACTCTTCTCCTGGTAGTGATTAAGTTGCACAAGATCTGATGGTTTTATGAGGGGTTCCCCCTTTCACTTGGCTCTCATTCTTCTCCTACCTGTCACCATGTAAGATGTGACTTGCTCCTCCTTGCCTTCTGCCATGATTGTGAGGCCTCCTCAGCTATGTGGAACTGTGAGTCAATTAAACCTCCTTCCTTTATAATTATACAGTCTCAGGTATGTCTTTATTAGAAGCGTGAGAACAGAATAACACAGCCAGAGCTGGGTCACACACCCATTCCTGAATCAGTGCCTGAGAGGAGGAATGGGATTCTTCTGCAACCCAGTGGGCTCGCCTTCCCCTAAGGCAAGTGACTTGGTGGGGAGGGGGCTGGGAACTTGAACAAAATGGGGGGCGGAAGAGGGGCAAGAATGCTGGAAAGGCAACCAACAGTGTGAACTATACAAGATGACACTAGCTGCTCGGCTACGTCTCAGGGGGGAAGTAAGATTCAGAAAAGTTGTAATTCTCTTCATTGTGAGAAAATATGGGACGGAGACCATCCCAAACCTGAGAAAATCACATACCACAGGCACAGATGCAAAACCCTGAGCTAGCTCCACCCAATGCATTTGTGTAAGTCACAGGCTTCTGTGACAGAAACACAACTCAAATTGGCTTAGGCCTAAAATAATGTATTGGCTTTACCTGGAAAGTTGAATGGTATGGATGGGCTTCAGTCATAGCTGGATCAAGAGCCTCTGCAGTTGAATTTTTGACTTAAATATTCTCTTTCTCTGGGCTCCAATTTCTTCTGTGTTGTCTTCATTCTAGACAGGCGTCTCCTCTCAGAGGGGCAAAGTTGGCTACCAGAGCCCAGACTTCCATCCTCCCAGCCTAACATCCCTAAGGAAAGGAGAGTGCCCCTTCCCAAAAGTTCCCTCAGAAATCCTGGGGAAGCTTTTCATTAGTCCAGAGTGGATCATATGCCTATGCCTGAACCAATCGCCAGGACTCTGCAAGATGGGGCCCAGATCACATGCCCAATTCTATAGCTGTGGCAGGGTGCTAATGAGTAACGAGAGTACGCCAGCCAAAGAGAAATGAAGAAGACACATTTACAAGAAAGAAAAATGGTATGCAGGCAAAGGCAGTGCTTGTCTCCTCTGGCTTTAATTTTACTGATAGAGGAACTTAGGCCCAGAGAGGGTAAGACACCTGCCCAAGGTCTCACAGCAGTGGATCAACGCAATGAACTCCAGCTCCTGAACTCTCCACTGCCACCAGCAAGAGTGAAGAGGGCAGGTGAGTCTGTGATTCCCTATGACACCCACTGTAGACTCCCTTTCACCTGCCATCCTCCTTATCCAAGGATTGTCACACATGTTTCTTAGCTCAAGATTGTGTCTACTTTGCAGCTGAAGCATGACATTTTAGGGGCTTGCTACAGACTGAAGTGTATCCTTCTGAAATCCACATGTTGAAGCCCTAACCTTGAGGTGATAGTATTTAGAGATGGGGCCTTTGGAAGATAATTAGATTTAGATGAGGTCATGAAAGCAGGGCTCTAATGATGGGATTAGGGCTTTTATAAGAAGAGACACCAGAGAGCCTGTGTGTGCGCTCTCTCTCTCTCCCCTCTCTGCCATGTGAGGACATAGCAAGAAGGAAGCCATCTGCAAGCCAGAAAGAGAGCCCTCCCCAGAACCTGACTATGCTTTTGGATTTCCAGCTTCTAGAACTATGAGGAAATAAATGTCTGTGGTTTAAGCCCCCTGTCTATGGTATTTTGTTATGGCAGCCCCAGCTGACGAATGTAGGGTTCCATTTAGAGCAACAGGCATTTATTGTGAACCTGCTAAGTGCTAGACACATGCAGAATGCCAAGGTTCATTCGCTGAGTCTCAGTGCACAAAGAGCTTGGAATCTAGAGGTAGTATTGAAATGTCAATGATGGGGCCAGGCACTGTGGCTCATGCCTGTGATCCCAGCACTTTGGAAGGCCGAGGCGGGCAGATCACTTGAGGTCAGGAGCTCGAGACCAGCCTGGACAACATGGTGACACCCCGTCTCTACTAAAAATACAAAAATTAGCCAGGTGTAGTGGCGTGTACCTGTGATCCCAGCTACTTAGGAGGCTGAGGCAGGAGAATTGCTTGAACCCTGGAGGTGGAGGTTGCAGTAAGCTGAGATCACGCCACTGCACTCCAGCCTGAGTGACAGAGTGAGACTCTGTCTCAAAAAAAAAAAAACAGTAATGGATCTCTTTTATGTTTTCTGTAACTTTCCAATCACTTTTATTCAAGAAAAGAAATTTCTAACTCAACCAATAACCTCCTTGCACTTTCTTCCTCTCTCCATCTGTCTCCAGAGACAGAACAGCACGTAGACTACAGGACTCTGGATTCATTTTTTTCCTACTTATTTCCCTCCATGGCAAGAGAAAAAAAAATGGCAGCTATAAAGAGAGATGGCAGATGCTCTTAAGTGCCCTGTGTTCAGGGCTTTCTGTGTCAAACCTCATTTAATCCCCAAGCCAGCCCATGAGGCACCCATGACTAGTCCCGTTTCCCAAATGAGGAACCTGAGGCTCAGAGAGTCAAAGTGATTTGCCCAAGATCACATGGCTGGGTGAAGCTGAGATTTGAGCTCAGATCTCTCTGGATTTTTTCTTTTCTTTTCTTTTCTTTTTTCTTTTTCTTTTTTTTTTTTTTTTTTTTTTGAGACAGAGTCTTACTCTCTTGCCCAGGCTGGAGTACAGTGGGATGATCTCAGCTCACTGCAACCTCCTTTTCCCGGGTTCAAGTAATTCTCCTGCCTCAGCCTCTCAAGTGAGTAGCTGGGATTACAGGTGGCTGCCACCACGCCCAACTAATTTTTGTATTTTTAGTAGAGACGGGGTTTCACCATGTTGGCCAGGCTGGTCTCTAACTCCTGACCTCAAGTGATCCGCCCGCTTCAACCTCCCAAAGTGCTGGGATTATAGGCATGAGCCACTGCGCCCAGCCCAGGTTTCTCTGGATTTAATGTCCAAGCTCTTAGCTCCCCACTGACTCCTACTGGCTAACCAGTTCCATGGATGAGCTCGTAAAACAGATACTCATGCCAAGTTGAGACATTGTGATGACCTAAATTTTTTCATAAGAGCAGACGCCACTGAGGAAGCTGGTCGTGATGTGGATGGGCACATTACAAGCTGTTATTGACTCTCCAAGTGATAATAATGGTATTAGTTTTGCTATTCACAAGAGCCTGAAGTC
Source organism: Homo sapiens (assembly GCF_000001405.40). Taxonomy (NCBI): domain Eukaryota; kingdom Metazoa; phylum Chordata; class Mammalia; order Primates; family Hominidae; genus Homo; species Homo sapiens. The sequence goes on along the minus strand of NC_000012.12, from coordinate 111,006,132 downwards.
ACTGAGCCTGTTCCCCGTGCTGGTCACTCCACATGTTTTCACTCTTTCCCTCTCGCATCAATCCTATGAGGTAGATCCTAGCGGCACCCCCATTTTCCAGATGACAAAACTGAAGCTCCACAGAAATCTCACCATTGAAAACCACTGAGGGAGGAGTAAATTTCCCAAACCCCTTGAGGTATAGAATTTTACAAGTCCATATTCAGAGACAGGAGCAAGATGGAAATTTAGAGCAAAATTTTCCTCTCGTAGAAGAAAGATGCTAACATCCATGGAGAATTCTGGGAAAATGCCATGAGCTCCCCACGGGTCCCTGGGAACCCTGGCAGTTTCCCTGAACTGACTCAGAGCTGGTGGATGTGGGAGAGGGAAGGCTTTTAAGGGAACCCCACGGGAAATGCAATGATAGCAGTGTTGTGCTCTGGGAGAGCTGTGGATGGGGTCCTCAGTGACAGAGGAGCCGAGATGCATACGCTTGAGTGGTTCTGCTGTCTGAATGTGCATAATGAAAAACCTTGTATAAAAATGTAATAAAATAGTTCTGTGAATTCAACTTTAAAACATCATGTGCACCTGGGTATTGTCCTGAAGGAAAAAAATCCTACCACCAGTTTGGTGAAGTCGGATGAGGGATGTGGTTAACAGCTGTTTATTGTTTGCTTTTGTGTCTTTTGCAAAGGTAATACATATGCATTATTAAAAATGCAAGCAATGTATAGGTGATGGTGTTTCAGTTAGGAATGCTTCTAGCTACAAGTAACAGTAAACTCAACTAATGCCTCCTTAAAAGACTTAAAAGGGCATTTATTGTTAATTAGCAGGAAGCCTGAAGGTAGGGAGTTCTGGGCTTGGTTTAGGGACTCAACCAAGGCAACAAGGACCCAGACTCCTCTGCTCTTTCTGTTCTGCTAGACTCAGTGTGCTGGTGATGTCTCCCCTCATGGTCACAAGGTGGCTGCCACAGCCCCAGACATCAGGTCCTCATATCTGAGTCCCATGCAGAAGGGAAGAGGTATGATGGGTCTAAAGAGAATCTTGTCTTCTTTTATTATTTACTTTATTTTTATGAGACAGGGTCTCACTCTTGTTGCCTAAGCTGGGGTGCAATGGTGCCATCACGGCTCACTGTAGCCTCAACTTCCTGGGCTCAGGTGATTCTCCCACCTCAGCTTCTCAAGTAGTTGGGGCTACAGGTGCGCACTACCATGCCCCGCTAATTTTTTGTACTCTTAGTATAGATAGGGTTTTGCCATTTTGCCCAGACTGGTCTCGAACTCTTGGACTCAAGCAGTCTGCCCACCTCAGCCTCCCAAAGTGCTGGGATTACAGGCGTGAGCTACTGCGCCTGGCCATTTTCTTCTTTTATTTAAAAGGATGATCTTCCTCAGAGATTGTCCCCTTCCTTCACAAAGTTGGATCTCTGTCCATTTAATCTCTCTGAGCCTCAATTTCCCCATCCTGGAAATGGGAGTAATCATAGCACCTTCCTGATAAGGTGTTGTGAGAATTAATTGAGAAAGCTTATTAGCCTGTAATAAGCACTTGCTATAATAAGTGCACTGATATCTTCACTTTGCCTGTCCAGATCCACTCTTCTCCACCTCTCTCCAGCTTGCTCTGTGCTGCCCCAGGACTGCAACGGCCTCCCTCGGCTCTGGTTTCTGCTGGATTTGGCCAATGGAAGATATTGACAGGAGATCAGATGCAGGAAGGAGAGGGAGGTCAGGTATGTATTCTTCTGGCTCCCTCCCTGGGGGACTGCCAAGGGAGGCTGAGCTTCTCTACCGATGGCCATGGCTTCTCTCTCTCTGCCAGCTGCTTGCTCTCTATCTCAGTGATGCCCACATGGAAACAGCTCCCTGTGGCTCCTAGCACAATTGCTGTTTCCAAATCTGCCTTCACCTTCATAAACAGTCTTCCAGCCTGAGCAACAAAGCAAGACCCTGTCTCTACAAACATTTTTAAAAAAAATTAGCTGGGCTTGGTTGCATGCACCTGTAGTTCCCAGGTACTCAGGAGGCTGAGATGGGGGGATCACTTGAGCCCAGGATTTCGAGGCTGCAGTGAGCTATCATCCCGCCACCACACTCTAGCCTAGGCAACACAGAGAGACACTGTCTCTAAAATTAATGCATAAATGTCTTTTTATTAAACTCCTCTGTAAATGCCAGTTGGAGGGTTTTGCCTTTTCCTACCAAGACACTGACTGATTCATTAGCTTTTGTTTGTTTGTTTGTTTCCCCAAAGTTATTTGCAAACTTTGGTATTTCATTAGTAGCTACAAGTGACTTGTGTTACACCTTGTGATTAAGAATCACCTGTCCACTTGGTCAAAAAGTCGGTAAGCTCGGATGTGATTGGGTTGGCTGTTACAACCGTGAATTAATTCTAAATCCTCGGGCTGCAATACATTCTAAATTCTAAATCCTCAATACATTGAGGCACAATATCTTTTATGTGAGAATGATTTTGAAAAATAGAAAAAGGAAAGACAGGATTTTACATTTACATGGCCTGAACTCATGGCTGTGTATTCTTGAAGCCCTTCAGTTAAATGGAAAACACTGGGTTTTGAAACTGTATTGATTTCAGTGGGCATATATTATTTTACTGTAAGTACCAATGTCTGTTGTACTTAATATACAATGGATTAATTTAAAATGCATTAGTTTAATAAAAATGCATAAAATAGAATAGAATTGCATTAGCTTCAATAAAAAATTCAATTTCATAAATATTATCTCCTGTTAAAATGCATTGATTTTCAGAAAAATATATTGGTCAAAGGTAATTTACATTGGTTTGAATGGAAATGCACCAGTATCATACATATGTATTAGTTTAGTCAAACGTATCCAATTGTGTAAAATATCAGTTAGGCTGAAATGGATTCGAACCCTGTTGCTCTCATTGTTGTTGTTGTTTTATTCTCTTTTGCTGAATAAATAAATATCTCACACGATGGCTTTAATGTGGCCCAGTTCACTTGAAGGAAGGTAGTGAGTAAGCCAGGGGAACATTCTGGTAACCTATGGGTTTGTGAGTGGCACTGACTTCAGCGGCAGTTAAGGGTGGCAGTGAAGGGGCAGCCAGCTTGCCCACCCAGGCTGGCTATGGGATATGAGCAGAAGATCCAGGCTGAGGGCCCAGAAGAAATATCCCCTGCCCCCGTGAGGACTGATTGGAGACACCCCTAGACTAGGAAAATGGCGTCTTCATCATGGCACCCACTGCAGGCCTTGACTACTGAAACTGCCTTTGTAAAATTATAACTAAGGAAATTATGACAGTGAATGCTATCAAACCTAATCAATTCCATCTTGCTTCTAACTTCTAAACTGTCCTTGTCCATTCCTGGGCATAGGCTGAACTAGCCTTGGGAAGGAACTTAGTTTATAGTTTAAATAACAGCCCTTCCCAAAAGCTAAACTCTTCTTGTAAAAGGAATGAAAGGCCACCAGCCACCAAGTTAGAATGAGAGGGGCTGGAATTCTAAATATTACCAGCCATTATCCCGGAGGTCATAAGATTCGCAACTTCCCCAATTACTCTTAAAGGTAACATCGGCCGGGTGTGGTGGCTCAGGCTGGGCGTGGTGGCTCACGCCTGTAATCCTAGCACTTTGGGAGGCTGAGGCCGGCAGATCACCTGAGGTCAGGAGTTTGAGACCAGCCTGACCAACATGGAGAAACCCTGTCTCTACTAAAAATACAAAATTAGCTGGGCGTGGTGGCGCATGCCTGTAATCCCAGCTACTCAGGAGGCTGAGGCAGGAGAATCGCTTGAACCCGGGAGGCGGAGGTTGCAGTGAGCTGAGATTGTGCCATTGCACTCCAGCCTGGGCAACAAGAGCGAAACTCCATCTCAAAAAAAAAAAAAAAAGTAACATCACTGTTGTGAACCCAAGATTGGCCTTTTGGGATGTCTTTTCAGGTTTTTGCATTTCCTAAAACCAGATGGCCCCACCTGGACATGCAAACCAGTTCTGTGGCCCCCACCCAGGAACTGAGTCAGCAGAAGAGAACAGCTTCGACTCCCTATGATTTCATCCCCAAGCCAACCAATCAGCACTTCCGATTCACTGGCCCCCTACCCAACAAATTATCCTTAAAAACTCTGATCCCCAAATTTTGGGGGAGACTGATTTGAGTAATAATAAAACTCTGGTCTCCTGCCCAGCTGGCTCTGCGTGAATTACTCTTTCTCTACTGCAATTTCCCTGTCTTGATAAATCGGCTCTGTCTAGGCAGGAGGCAAGGTGAACCCACTAGGACAGGGGGAGCTGGAAGGAAGCCTGAGATACAGGGACAAACGGGGACCAGAATCAGGAAGTGAGCTCAGGGTCAACAGGTCACAGGATCCCATGAGGTTCTGGGGTCACCCAGGCCTGGGTCCAAACCCTGCGCCTGCCACTTCCTGTGTGACTGTGGCCAAATCACTTCACCTCTCTGAATCTCCATTTCCCCCAGGCGCTGTTAGACACTGCTCTGATCACTCTGTATATGACTGATTTGTTCCAATGGCTCTGTAACCCCATGGTACAGGTAAGTGACTTGTTCTACTCCAGCTAGCAAGTGGCAGAGCTGGGACCTGAACCAGAGTCTGTGCTCTCAGCCACTAGATTGCCTCCAATAATTGCTTTGTGGCTTCAGAAGGAGGCGTCACATGGCAATTAAGGGAAAGTATTCTAATCCTGGCTCTGCAGCTTTCTATCTGGGAATCTTGGGATAAGTGATTTGCCTCTTTCAGCCTTGGTTCCCTCATCTGCGAAACAGGTATAATGATAGCATCCACCTCCTAGGGCACTCAGCATAGTGCCAGGGACATGGTATGGGCTCGACAAATGGCAGCTCTTCCCTCCAGCAAAAACATATTGAACACATTTTTGTGGATGCAGGACTTTTCAGAGCCTTTAGTATGCTAATGTGGGTCATGAATCTCTAAGAGGGAAATGAGTAGGCAGAGTCTACTAAAGATATCATTGAGCTGTGAGGAGAAGAATTACAAATAATAATTAGAGGTCGGGTACAGTGGCTCACACCTGTAATCCCAGCACTTCAGGAGGCCAAGGTGGGAGGATCACTTGAGCCCAGGAGTTTGAGACCAGCTTGGGCAACACAGTGAGATCCTGTCTCAGCAACAACAACAACAACAACAACAACAACACACACACACACAGACACACACACGATTAGCCAGGAGTGGTGGTGCACACCTGCAGTCCCAGATACTTAGGAGGCAAAGATAAGAGGATTGCTTGAGTCCAGGAGTTCAAGGCTTCAGTGAGCTGTGATCACTCCACTGATCAGCCTGAGCAACAGAATGAGACCCTGTCTCAAAAAAATAAATAAATAAATAAAGGAGAAATCGCACCAACTGAGTAGCATTTTCCACAGCGCAGGATGAGTTCCTGTGATGTGTGAGTTGCTCTTGCTCTCCTCAGGTGGACATTTTCCAAAACTTTTTACTGGGGAAAAATATTAGTAAAGTTGTAGGCCAGGTGTGGTGGCTCATGCTTGTAATCCCAGCACTTTGGGAGGCCGAGGTGGGCAGATCGCTGGAGCCCAAGAGTTTGAGACCAGCCTGGGCAACATAGCAAAACCCCCATATCTATAAAAAATATAAAAATTAGCCAAGAGTGGTGGTGTGTGCCTGTAGTCTCAGCTACTTGGGAGGCTGAGGTGGGAGGATCACCTGAGCCCAGGAGGTCAATGCTGCAGCCTGGATGACACAGGGAGAATCTAAAAAAAAAAAAAAAAAAAAGAAAAGAAAGAAAAAGAAAAGTTGCAAGAAGAGTAAGGTACAACAAGCTCCCTGAATTTCCCCAGATTTGCCAAATGTTGACATTTTGCCACATTTACTGTATCTCTCCTGCCTCTATTTCCCAACCCCTGAAGCATTTGTGAGTTAATGCAGTCACTACCACGATCCTTGATACACACAGTTCAGTGTGTCTCTCCTAAGAATAAGGTCATTCATTCCCTTATATAATTACTGTACAATTATTGCATTCAGAGAACTTAACATTGATGTAGTTCTATGATCTGAATTTTTTAGATTCCATCTTCAAATTTCACCAATTGTCCTAATGCTGTATTTTATAGCAATTGGTTTTCCAGTCTAGGAGCAAATGCAGGACTATACACTGAAATCAGCAGTCATGTCTCTTTGGTCTCCTTTGATCTGGAATCCTTCCTTAGCCTTTCTTTGTGTTGGTCTTGACATTTTCGAAGAGTCCATTTTGGAGGATTTCCCTCACTTTGGGTTTCCTGGATGTTTCCTGGAGGTTAGATTCAGGTGATGCACTTTTAGCAGGAAAACCACAGAAGTGATGCTATGTCCCCCTCAGTGCATTGTAGCAGGAGGCACCTGGCATCTGTCTGTCCCACTGGTGTCATACCTACTTACCTCTTGAATAGGGTGGTATCTGCCAGGTTTCTCCACTATAATTTTTCCCTTTGTAATTAGTAAGAAATATATAAAGGGAGCTATTATAGATAAGACTATACCAAGTTAAACATGGAATTTTTTAAAATTAACATACGTAGATTTATTTTTCTGTTAATTTTTTTTCTGCAAAGGAAAACTGGTGTTTCATTTAAAGTAGCAACGTAATGTTTCCTTCTCCAATACATATATTTACAGTAAAAAGAAGAAAAAGAAAACTGAGTCCATTTGAAGAAAAGTGTAAAATAAGTGACAACAGTACATATGGGAAGATACTATGAAAGGTGGCTTCTGGGTGGCTGTTTTAGAGACACAGGATAGAGTCAGCTCTTGTCCCAGGCGGTGCAGCAAAAGCCCCTGGAAGGTGGTGGAGCAAAGCTGTCAGGCTGGGAGAGGGTGCTCTTGGGGTCTTTTGAGCCTTAGAGGGTCTTCTATGGTTCCCCCAGGCCCAGAGACCCTGAACTCACCCTCTGTCTCACCCTGCAGGCGAGGGGAGGCAGCCACTGGGATGGGCATTTTGGCCCCTTGACTGGCATGACCAGAGGGATCACCAGCTGGTCTGGGAGATCCCAGGGACTGGGTGTGAGTCCTGGTTCTTGGAAATCCACCCAGCAGTCCATACAAGCTGAGCACCTACAGAAAGAGCCCCTCCCAGCCTCTCCTAAATCAGAGCCATGGGTAACAGCAAAGGCAGACTGAGTGTTGCTTTTCTGGACCCAAATTGGATGGTCTTGGAGTCTTGCAAATGATGGTGAATGCACCAACAGGCAGGGTCACCAAGAAGGTAGCAGGCAGGGAGGGCTTTGGAGGGAAAGGCCTGCCACCTGGTAGGAAAAATCAAATCTAACAGAGTGCCTATTCTTTAAGTATTGAAGGCTCAGTTGCTTCCTGTAATCAGGCCAAAAAGTGACCCTTTGAGCTGTAACAAAGACTGTCCCTTCAGGCGCTGGCCTGACTAAAGCCTTGATACCTGTCTCAGAAGTTACCCACCGGATACCTCAGCCAAACTGGCATCTATAGCTGGATAAAAAGCCAAAATTGGGTTAATTCCAGGACTGTGGCAAAATCAAGAGTAAACAAATCCATGTTTCAATTCTGAGTGGTTAGAAAGGGCATGGGCTTCATGTTCACAACATAGCTCCAGGCCGGCCATGGGGCTGAGGCCCACTCACTCCCTCTGTGGGCTCACTCTTCTCACCTGTAGAAGGGGTAATAATATTGCCTACTCTCTGGGTTGAGAGGGATCACGTGAAGGCAGTGAATAAAGACCTTGGCACGATGCCAGGCATGTTGTAAACAGTCATTAAATTTGCAGCTGTAACCACCCAATGGATTCTTCTTGTCTGCTACCCAGATAAAGCCAATTTACCAAGACAGAGGAGTTGCAACAGAGAAAGAGTTTAATACATATAGAGCCAGCTAAACAGGAGACCAGAGTTTTAATATTACTCAAATCATCCTCCCAGAAAATTCAGAGGCTAGGGTGTTTAAAGATAGTTTGTGGACAGGGGGCTAGGGAATGGGGAGTGCCAATTGGTTGGGGTTGGGGTTGGGGATGAAATCACAAGTATTCAAAGCTGTCCTCTTGGGCTGAATCAGTTCCTGCATGGGGGCCACAAGAACAGATGAGCCAGCTTACCTGTCTGGGCAGCACCAGCTGATCCACCAGAATGTAGGGTCCGAAAAATATCTGAAACACCAATCTTAAGTCTCACAATAGTAACGTTATCCACAGGAGGAAATGGGGAGGTTAGAAATTTTGTGGCCTCTGACTGCATGACTCCTGAGCCATTATTTCTAATCTTGTGGCTAATGTGTTAGCTTTACAAAGACGGTCTGGTCCCTAAGCAAGGAGGAGGTTTGTTTTGGGGAGGCACTGTGATCACTTTTATTTTAAAGCTAAATTATAAATAAAATTCCTCCCAAAGTTAGTTCTGCCTACACCCAGGAATGAACAAGGGCAGCCTGAAGGTGAAAGGCAAGATGGAGTCAGTTTGGTCAAATCTCTTTCATGGTCATAATTTTCTTTATCTTTACAAAGGTGGCTTCCTAACTATTATGACTGTCATCATCGTTGTTGTTGTTGTTGTTAATCAAACCAGCCCATTGGAATAGCCTGAAGAGAAGTCATTCAGTTGAACAAGAACGCCTTGAAAGCAGGAATACTTTTTTATTCGTCTTTGTACCTCAGCATCAACACGAGGGCCTGGGTGTGAATCCTGGTTCCTGGAAATCCACCCAGCAGTCCATACTAGCTGAGCACCTACAGAAAGGGCCCCTCCCAGCGTCTCCTAAATCAGAGCCATGGCCAACAGCAAAGGCAGGCTGAGTGTTGCTTTTCTGGACCCAAACTTGGGCTCTTGTAAAGAAGGGTGAATGCACCAAGAGGCAGGGCCAACAAGGAGGACACACATAGTAGTATTTGCTAACAAGAATCATCAAGCGGCTGATGTTTTTTGAGCAGTGACTATGTTTGAAGCCCTGGTTAAGCTTTTGACATGTGTTCTTACATCAAAACCTCAGAACCACCCTAGGTGGCACCCTACATGGCACCAGACAAGACAGAATGAGAGGCAAGTGAAAGGGGAAACCCCTTATAAAATCATCAGATCTCGTGAGACTTATTCACTACCAGAAGAACAGTATGGGGGAAACTGCCCCCATGATTCAGTTATCTCCCACCAGGACCCTCCCACAACACGTAGAAATTATGGGAGCTACAATTCAAGATGAGATTTGGGTGAGGACACAGACAAACCATATCAAGCCCTAATTTCATTCATTCACTTCTCCATTCATTCATCCATTCCGCACTTACTGAACAATGGCTTTCACACTGAGCAGTGTTTTAAGCACTTTCCTTACAGCAATTCATGTAACTCCCACAGCAACCCTAAATGAGGTAGACGCTATTATAATTTCCCTTTTACATATGGGTGACCTAAGGCCCCGAGAGGGACTGTCACTTGCCTTGGGTAACACAGCTTGTAAATGTTGAAGTCAGGATTCCAACTCAGAGCACCTGGCCACAAAGTCCATGCTCTTAACTTTTTATAGCCAGATGTTTCCTCTCTGCAAATCAGAGGTTATAATAGCACTTTCCTCCTGGGGTTGTTGTGGGGATGAAACTCAGTCTTGCCTTTACACAATTAGCGCAGTGCCTGCTCCTCAGGGAGTTGTTATTTTAAATTTTTTTTTTTTTTTTTTTTGAGACGGAGACTTGCTCTGTTCTCCAGGTTGGGGTGAAGTGATGCGATCTCAACTCACTACAACCTCTACTTCCCAGGCTCAAGCGATCCTCCCACCTCAGCCTCCTGAGTAGGTAGGACTACAGATGCATGCCACCATGCTCGGCTAATTTTTTATTTTTTTTTTAAATGAGGTCTCACTATATTGGCCAGGCTGGGGAGCTGTTATTTTTATTTATTATTTTCTTTTTCTTGCCAGTACACCTCCAGGCCTCTGCACTTGACTCCCCTCTTGGCCTGGCTCTCTTTGGATTGCCTTTGAAGCCTCCAATTCAAGCGTCACCTCTTCTAGGGAGCCTTCCCTGACCTTGCAAAACAGGCTAAGTGTAAGCAGAGCCCCTGAGGTTACCACACTGTTCTACGATGTTCCACCTCCAGCTAATGTAGGAACAGCAGTTGTGCTTTCTTTTTTGTATTTCTGGCTCTTGATATGGTTCTGAACCACTGCGGATGCATGCTCAGAGAACAAGTACTCTTCGTTCAACAAAATGTTCCAGCACTGATGGCGTGTTGGGCTCTGGAGCAACAGAGTGTGAGTTTGTTGAATGGCTAAAGGACCTATTTCCATTTTCTGTGCTCATTTGGCCATCTCACTGTGAGTGCTACTCCCTCATGTACCTGAAAATGCTAAGGTGGCACTTTTTTTTTTTTTTTTTTTTTGAGACAGTGTCTTGCTCTGTCCCTGAGGCTGGGGTGCAATGGCAGGATCTTGGATCATTGCAACCTCTGCCTCCTGGGTTCAAGCAATTCTCCTGCCTCAGCCTCCTAAGTAGCTGGGATTACAGGCACCTGCCCTCACACCTGGCTAATTTTTGTATTTTTAGTAGAGACGGGGTTTCGCCATGTTGGCCAGGCTGGTCTCAAACTCCTGGCCTCAAGTGATCTGCCCGTCTCAGCCTCCCAAAGTACAGGGGTTCCAGACACAAGCCACCGCACCCAGCCTAAGGTGGCACTTTCTGGAAGGTTCCAGGCTCCTCCAAGTAGCAGCCCCCTCCCCAGTTCCAGATACCCAGCGATCTGGCTGTTTTCCCCTCATTCCTCCCTACAAAGCTCCCAGGCTGCCCCTGCACCCAGCCCCTCTCCTGAAATAGTCTCTTGTGGCTTCCCATTTGTCTTCCCAGAGCAGTCTCGTTTCTTTCATGTGCCACGGGACGCACCAACTCTCCAGGCTAAAAATACCCCTGACATTTCTGAAGGCCTGTTAGGGCCAGAGCTGCTCTCCTGAAGAGAATGAGTGTCTCTGCAAATGGAAGCAGGTGGCAGCACAGTCACGGGCGGAGGGCACCTACTGCACTTGTGGCTCAGTCCACCCAGTGGCCAACCGGCCTGCGTCCTTCATGACCCCCTCCTCCACCCTGAGCTCCTGGAGACCAGGAGTTATGAACTGGATTGCATTCTCCTAAAGCTCATATGGTGAAGCCCTAAACCCCAGTGTATTTGCAGACAGGGCCTTTAAGGAGGTAATTAATGTTAAATGGGATCATAAGGCCCGGGGGCTTATCCAACAGGACTGGTGTCCTTAGAAGAGGAAGACAATAGATCTCTCTCACGCTTTTGCTCTCTCTGCACACACAAGGAAGAGGCCATTTAAGGACCCAGCAAGCAGGTGGCTGTCCACAAGCTTGGAAGAGAGAGGCCTCACTAGAAACCAACCCTGATGGTATCCTGATCTTGGACTTTTGGACTCCAGAATTGTGAAAAGATAAATTTCTTTTCTTTTCTTTTCTTTTTTTAAGACCAGCTCTCACCCTATGACCCAGGCTGGAGTGCAGTGACACGATCATGGCTCACCTCAGCTTCAACCTCCCAGGCTCAGGTGATCCTCCCACCTCAGCCTCCTGAGTAGCTGGGACTACGGGCATGTACCACCATACCTGGCTAATTAAAAAAAATTTTTTTTAGAGACGAGGTTTTGCCATGTTGCCCAAGCTGGTCTCAAACTCCTGGGCTCAAGTGATCCTCCCGCCTTGGCCTCCCAAAGTGCTAGGATTACAGGCATCAGCCACTGCACCCGGCCAAGATAAATTTCTGTTCTTTAGGCCACCCAGTTTGTTGTGTTCTGTTATGGCAGCCCTAGCAAACTGATGCACCAGGGATTAGGGCTGGTTCCTCTCCATGTCCTCACACAGCCTGGCACAGAGTAGGTGCTCAGTAAATGTTTGTTGAATGAGGCACAGTAGTTATGAACAGGGATTATGAAACCAGATTGCTTGACTTCCAGTTCTGGCTCTGCCCCTTGCTGGGTGATCTCTCTGTACCTCCATCGTCTCATCTGTGAAGTGGAAGTAATAAAAGCTCCTAGGGTTGTTAGAGGACCACGTAAATATAGGTATTGCTTCTAGAGTAGAGTTTGACAATGGTAAGCACAAGATACGAGTTATTAGTATTCGTATTCTTGTCATCATGTTTATCTCATTGGGAATCTAGCTTTTCTTACTGCTCTGCTGTTTTTGTCTATGGTCTTTATTCTCAGTCACGCGGCAAAATTTTTCCACCCTCATGGTGGGAAGATACCTGCTAGGTACTCAAGCTTGCATCCCATCCCTCAAAAACCCCAGTCTAAAGAGAGCTTGTCGTTTCCTTCCTCAAAGTTCCAGCAAAAATCCTGGATTGGCTTTCTTCAGTCTGTCTTTGAGTCCTGCCCTTTCCTGTACCAAACTCTGGGGCCAGAGAGAGAGCCTGTTCTTATGAGCCAGTCTTAGATGTGTGCCAATCCCAGAACCAATCACTGTAGCCAGAAGGACAACAAGCTCTGATTGGCCAGGTCTGACACCAGTGATTGTGTCTAGGAGGATTAAATGCTCCAATTGGCTAGGCCCGAGTCACATGGGCATCAGGAACCAATCATTATGTCGAGGCAGATAAAATGCTCTGATAGGCCAGGTCTAAGTCATGTGCTCATCCTTGGAGCCAAGGGTTGAGGTGGGCTTCACCCAAACCTTGCACTGGGGTGAGGGAGGGGTGAGGGGTGCTGCTCCTAGATGCGGGAATGAATACAGGCAGGCAGATGATAGCAACCCCAACGTGGGACAAAGCCCTTTGTCCCTTTTCCCCAGAGTGCCCCCAACTCTAGGTTATACTGGGTGTATGACTTTTATTAGACATGACAGTTGCAGTGGTGTGTGCATGTGTGTGTGTCTACATCACATTGCACAATGCAATTTAAGATTAAATATTAGATCTCCTATTCTTAAAAGCCTTCAGGTTCTTCCCTCCCAGCATCAGGGAGTTGTCTGTCTCTGGTGAGCCTCTGGCTTGTCCAGAGTCCCCCTATCCCTAGGGGCAGACGTTTTGTGGTTTCTCTATCTGGGTCCATAACGACATCTCTCTGCATCAAACGACACAAAATGCATTCACTGAACAAACATACCTTGATCTTATCTTCCTGCCTTGTCTGCTTTTAACCCTTTAGTTCCTCCTTCCACACAATGAGCAACTATTCACTTGGCAGGATTTGAATGTCAAGCTTCATTCACTGTGAGGGTCTCCCCAGCATGAAAAAGTCGAGTCACATCTTAGAATAAAAATGGTTGTGGGAGGGATATGGGAATAAGAAAGTTCCAAGGGAAATTCTCCCCCAGACCTTGGGTAAAGCCTCTCAGCTTCTCAAATCAGGCAAGCAGTTGTCTTATTTGATTAGGATTAACAGATTTTCCAAAGATAACCTATTTTGGTTTTATGATTCTATCTCTCTAGGCAGTGTTTACAATATGTATTTGCAGAGACAGAAAATGTATGCCAGGAACGAGGCGAGGGCCCTTGCCTCTGCTCACACAGTCTGTCATAAATATAATATTAGGATGATGCCTGAAATTAATGTGAATCATTTCCCAATAAATATAGTCAGTTAGTGAGGTGTTCCAGGACCGCTGATGGGAGATATATTTTGGTAAAATATGGTTTTTTTATCGGTTGGGAACTGGGGGTGGGGGCACAAGGAAGGCATAAATCTCTATGGAAGAAGTATCTTTTATGATTATTCAATTCCACAGTAGCTCTAAGAGCCTAAAGTAGATTCATATTTACACTTCCTGGAAGCACCTGGTTTTTATATATTGGGGAAAGAATTAGTATCAGGGCCTTCTCGTGGAAATCACTGACTTATGCTCTTGGACGGCAGGGAGGTGAGAGGCTCTTCTGCCAGGGTGCTCCATGAGACTGAATTAATTTCATCTGCATCCAGGCGTGGTGTGAAGGAGACGTCACACAGCTGTCAGGGTAGAAGGGGCTGCTGGAAAGGTGGTCTTTGCTGGCCCTGATGCACAGGTGGCCCCTGACGCACAGGAGACAGGCATTGGGAATGGCGGATCGGGGGAGTGGGGTTAGGGCCACAGGGCTGGAAGAGGAAAAAAGCATGCTAGGGAGAGGGCTGAAGCCAGCTGGCTGAAGGCAACAGTGATGGGGTGTATGTGCTTCTGTCCCTGAGAGCTCGGGCTAAACATACATATTCCCCATCTCGTCCCACTTGCCTTGATGCTCCCAAAGTCTGCAGATGAAGGAAGGAACCCTGGCCCTTTGTCACTTGCTGTTAATTTCCCTGCATGGGCATTATTCATTTCATTTTTTTTTTTTTTTTTGAGATGGAGTTTCACTCCTGTTGCCCAAGCTGGAGTGCAATGGCACAATCTCGGCTCACTGCAAACTCCGCCTCCGAGGTTTAAGTGATTCTCCTGCCTCTGCCTCCCGAATAGCTGGGATTACAGTTGCCCACCAGCACGCCTGGCTAATTTTTTTGTATTTTTAGTAAAGACAAGATTTCACCATGTTGGCCAAGCTGGTCTTGAACTCCTGACCTCAGGTGATCCACCTGCCTCAGCCTCCCAAAGTGCTGGGATTACAGGTGTGAACCAGCACGGCCTTAATTTTAAGGTTAACTGTTCTATTAGTCTGTTCTTGTACTGCTATAAAGAACTACCTGAAGGCAGTTGCAGTGGCTTATGCCTGTAATCCCAGCACTTTGGGAACCCGAGGCGGGCAGATCACTTGAGGTCAGGAGTTTGAGACCAGCCTGGCCAACATGGTGAAACACCGTCTCTACTAAAAATACAAAAAAAAAAAAAAAAAATTAGCCGGGTGTGGTGGCACATGCCTGTAATCCCAACTACTTGGGAGGCTGAGACAGGAGAATTGCTTGAACCTGAGAGATGGAGGTTGCAGTGAGCCAAGATTGTGCCACTGCACTCCAGCCTGAGCAACAGAGCAAGACTCCATTTCAAAAAAAAAAAAGAACTACCTGAGATTGGGTAATTTATGAAAAAAAAAAAAAAAAAAAAAAAAGAGGTTTAATTGACTCACAGTTCCATAGACTATACAGGAAGCCTGATTGGGGAGGCCTCAGGAAACTTACAATCATGGCGGAAGGCGAAGGAGAAGTAGGCAGATTTTCACATGGCGGAGCAGGAGAGAGGGGATGGGGAGGGGCCACACACTTTTAAACAACCTAGTCTTGCAACACTCACTCACCATCACCAGAGCAGCACTGAGGGGGAATTCCACCCCCATGAGCCAATCACATCCCACCAGGCTCCTCCTCCAACACTGGGAATTACAATTCAACATGAGTTTTGGGTGAGGACACAGAGCCAAACCATATCAATTTTATCATTTTTTTTCCCCTCTGCAAACAAAAATAATGCAAGTCCACCGTCTGTTAGCCAAAATTCTAAAGTCCTAAAAGCTCTGGAAACTGTTGAGTCCTTCCTGGTTAACATGTGTGGTGGCAAAAGCTGATCGGAACCAATATGAGGTTATTTATATTACTTATTCATCCCCCTTTGTGGAAATGTTTATACCTTTCACTGCAGAAATATTAATGTGTTTGATTATAGAGTGCTGCCCCAAACCTCTCTGGGAGTGTTAGATAAGACACGGCTCCCGATGCCTTTCTAAGAGCCACACAGATTTTGAATCCTGAAATAGATCTTCCCCCAAAGGTTTCAGATAAAGGATTGTAGACTTGAACTGGCTATTTGCCATAAGAAAGTCTATATAATGTAGAAAGTAAAAGCCTTAAACAAAAAGTGGGCAAAGCATGTAGATATTCACAGAAGAAAAACAACTGCCCACTAAGCTGAGAACGAATTCAACTGTACTTGGAATTGAAGATGGCAGACTGAAACCATAATAAGCTCCATCTTTATCAGATTAAAAAAATGGGAGAACAGGCTGGGCGCGGTGGCTCACACCTGTAATCCCAGCACTTTGGGAGGCTGAGGCAGGCGGATCATGAGGTCAGGAGATCAAGACCATCCTGGCTAACATGGTGAAACCCCGTCTCTACTAAAAATACAAAAAATTAGCCGTGCGTGGTGGTGGGCACCTGTAGTCCCAGCTACTTGGGAGGCTGAGGCAGGAGAATTGTGTGAACCCAGGAGGCAGAGCTTGCAGTGAGCTGAGATTGTGCCACTGCACTCCAGCATGGGCGACAGAGCCAGACTCCATCTAAAAAAAAAAAAAAACAAAAACAAAGGGAGAACATCCATTGTTGGTGAGGATGTGGTTAAAAGGCACTTCCATTCATGCAGATGATGGGGTAAATCTCACCAACTTTTTTGGAAGACAATTTGGCAATACCCATCCATATTTAATGAATTTATCTTTGAGACGGGGGTCTCACTACATTGCCCAGGCTGGTCTCAAACTCCTGGGCTCAATTGATCCTCCAGCCTCAGCATCCCGGGCAGCCGGGACTACAGATGGATACCACAGCGCCCTGCTGGAGTGCTGCCTCCACATTTTTATAAGTGTATCCCCCTTAGTCCAGCAATTTCACTTCTTGGAATTTATCTTGTAACTAGTCATATTCACCTAGTGCAAAGATGAATGTTCACACATATTCAGTGCACCTCAGTTTGTAGTAGCAAAAAACTGGAAGCAACCTAAACATTAAGTGTTTATGAGAGAGGATTGGTTAAATACACTTGGGGCACGAAAACCATGGAATATTATGAAGCCGTTAAAAAGAATAAACTAGATCGACATGAATGGACTTGGTAAGATGCCCACAATATAGAGTCCCAGGGACAGAGCATGCTATGCAATTCTACAATTCAGTTTTTAGCTTCCAAAAGTACATATATGCATATTATGTGTTTATGTGTGCAAAGAAAAAATTGTGGAAGAATATGTTCCAAACCATGGTTATACTTCTATAAGATGCATGAAGACCAGGGATATTTCTCTAGATTAGATGCACTTTTGTAATGTTTAAAAGTTTTTACATCGATTCTATATCATTTTTTAGTTAAAATAAATTACCCACAGTGAGGAAAAGGAAGCAGAAATTTCCCTTAATTCTACCCTCTTACCCAGAGATCACTGTTGTTGAATTTGGCGTTTTTTTAGAATTTTCTCTGTGACTACATCATATTTACATCCCTGCCCATGTACATTTATTTTCCATCCACAAGAATGAGTTTGTGCTGTCCAAACTCAAACTCCCCTGCAATTTTCTTTTCCCTTTAGACATGATGCCCCGGACACCTTCCCACCTTTCCACGTTACTGCCCGGAGCTCCCCATCCCAGGCATGCCACCATGAGAAGGCGTCATCGTCCATTTCACTGGCCACCCGTTGATGGACACCTGGGCTGACTCCAACTTTGGAGGCCTCATGTTCTGAAAAATTGTTGTCAACCAAACTGAATTTATTAAGTAATAATTAATTTGTTTCCCCATTTTTTATTCATCAAAGACGTACAAACTGCAGACCAGGGTTTCTGATTAGCAGGAGGCTCCCAAAGCCCAGAGAATCCCAGCCAAGAGCAAAGCGGCTGGGTGTTTGAAGAAGGCTGGGTGGCCTTACGGGTATGTGGGTTCCCTTTGTGTGTCGGGCCTTTTGCTTTTTTAACACAGGAGTAAACCCAGACCCCAAACAGAGGGGAGGGATGGCAAGGGCATTGATGGGCAGAAAGCTCTGGTGTTCAATGGAACAGTAATTACAAAGTCACAGTGAAATCAGCCTTTGGGTAAGTGGCTTAAATGTTCTGAGCCTCAATTCCCCCTTCTGTATGATAGGGATCATCTTTTCTGCCTCCTGCTAGAGTTCCATAGTGGCACATGGTAGGGCCTCAATAAACTCAATAGACATTAAAGGTAAACCACTAGAAATGAGGTGGAGCTTCTGTTATTTCAACAAGTCTGTGTTGTGCTCCATGCTGATTGCTGGAGATGCGGAAGGGACCAAGACCCAGCCCCTCCTCTCCAGGAATCCAAGGACTAACTAGTTTTGCACAAGGAAAGGATGATTTCCCTGAGGAAAGTAAGGTGTTATTCCAGGCAAGGCATTAGATACTGGATGGGCCAAATCAACTGGAAGCTGGAAGCAGAATGAAAGGGGCTAGGGGCTGGGGGAAGGGGAAGTGGGGAGTGACTGCTTAGTGGGTTTGGGGTGTCCTTC
This sequence comes from Homo sapiens, assembly GCF_000001405.40. Taxonomy (NCBI): domain Eukaryota; kingdom Metazoa; phylum Chordata; class Mammalia; order Primates; family Hominidae; genus Homo; species Homo sapiens. The sequence goes on along the minus strand of NC_000012.12, from coordinate 110,988,040 downwards.
TGGGACAAAGAAAATGTTTTGCAACTAGACAGAGAGGGTGACTGCACAACACTGTGAATGTACTTAATAAACACCACTGAGTCGTACACTTCAAAATGGTTCATTTTATATCATGCGAATTTCACCTCAATGGAAACAAAAACTGGAGGCCCAGATGAGTAAATGCAGCTCCACCCGCCCTCCTACCTAGCCATGTGAAGAGGAGCGGGACCTACTAGGTGTGGGCGGGACCTACTAGGTGTCGGCACATTGCTTAACCTCTTGGTGCTTCAATTTCCTCATCTGTCAATTGCAGATTATAAATATCCACTCACAGAGTTGCCAGAAGAATTAAATCAAGTAACAGTTAAATCAGGTAATTAAATCAGGTAAAGCTTACAGCAGAGCCTGGCCTACAGTAAGTGATCAACAAATGGCAGTTACTATTACCATTACAGGCAAGAAAAAAGGTGCTCAAGGGTAAAGGCAGAGAGACAGGCAGGGAGATTGCCTGGGCTGTGGATTGCAAGGTGTTACTTTGGGCTAGAGACACCCACAGGCATGATGAGGGAAGGTGGGAGAAACCAGTCTATTTCTGGATGCAACTGAACATGCTAGTGGGGGACCTCATCTGATCATAGCATTTATTGCAAAATATAAATATGTAGTTTCCATGTGACACACTTAAGTCCAATCAAGATGATCAGGTTGCACCCTCAACTGTAAGAAGGTAAACTTGGAAAGGAAGGTGTAACCCAGTGCTCCCCAAAGTGAAATCCCTGGAACCCCAGTTCTTTAATGTTAATGTAATCCCTTTAAACCCCAGGGATTAAAACAGGAATGAGGTTTCAGGTCAGTTGCAAAGGTATCATTGTTCAAAATAACCCTTGGCAAGGGCACAGGAACTATCTTTCTTCTGTCTTTATAGCAAACCAATTATTCATTATTGTTCGTACAATAAACTGAGGATTTAAAAAAAAATGCATATTGATGACTATTCTGTTGTTTAAAAAGAAGTCACTGTGCTCTTGGCTTCCCCATTGGCTTTTGGCCTCATGAGGGATATTGGCAGAGTTTTTGGTAGCAGTGCCCCATGAAAGATATAGCAAATGCACGCCTAGCCCCTATCAGGTATTCTGAAAGCAATCTAATTGGCAGATTATACCTACAGAGTGGCAGCTACAGGATGGGATTCAGGAATGGTGTGCACCAGGGGCTCTTTGAGAGTATCCTCTAGAACACAAAGTTAGTGAGTTGATAATAGATGTTCTACGAGAAAAGCATTCCCTGGTCAATTAAGTATGGGCAACAGCGAGATTAACAAAGTTCCACGGTTTATTTCATGCAGAAATTGTCAGAGCTTTTAATGTCTTAAGGCTCATTTGACTTTCCCAAGAAGGGGTAGAGGATTTAGTGTTTCCCAAGTTGATTTGCGTAGAGAACGCTTTTTTTCCCAAAACAAGCTAAAGAACTGGGGTTCCAGGGATTTCACTTTGGGAGCCACTGGGTTACACCTTCCTTTCCAAGTTTACCTTCTTACAATTGAGGGTGCAGCCTGATCATCTTGATTGGACGTAAGTGTGTCACCAAACACTGAATGAACATCTGTCAAAGACTTGTGTGTGTTGGTGCTGGGGAGGCAGCCTGGAAATGACACAGTCTCTGTCCTCAAGGAGAACATGATCTAACCAGGCAGAATACTAGCACTAACAACAACAACGGTAATAATAGCAGCTCTCATTTACTGAGCATTTGCTACATTCCAGGCACTGTGCTAAATGCATGCTCAAACAAGCTCATGTAAACACGTCAATAGTGGGAACAGTGTTATTATTCGCATTTTACAGGTGAAGAGATGAAGTTCAGAGACAGCAAGTAACTTGGCCAAGGGCACACAGCAAAGAGGTGTCAGAGTGGGGCTTTGAGCAGATTGTCTGAATCTGAAGGTCACAGACATCAGCCCATTTGCTCTAAAGACCTGGTCAAAGGAGAAAAGCAAAGGGGTTAAGTCATAGGCCACCAACATAAGAAGAGTGTAGCAGAGACCTCTTGGCACCTTCTCCAGTTTGTGATATGAGGTGTTCCTAGCCCAAAAAAGGGCTCTAGGGTGAGAAGGACCAGGGGCTGGGTGAGAACTGGGGAGAAGCTTGAACTCCACACATAAATATCTGTAAGGAATGGAGCAATGGCTATAAGTTATCCCAGCCATGGGAGAGCTGGAGAGGAAACTCAGGATGATAAGAAGGAGGAGGCCAGGAGACACAGTGGGAGGAATGTGGACTGGAGAACCAGGAGAACCAGCCTCTTCTCTGGATCTTGCTCCAATTTACTGTGCAGCCTTGCACAGGTCACTTAACCTCTCTGGTTTATCGAAGTCTCAGCATCACACACCACTCCTGTACTCATACGAGAACTATGACAGTGCTTCCTCCAAAAGAGAGGCTCTTCCAAGGGCAAGGAGAAGCTTCAATTCACCTTCTGCTTCCCAGTGTATGGTATCATACCCCGCACACTTTAAGTTTCCCATAAATGTTTGTTGATTGAATGAGTGAATGAGTGAAAAAGTAGGTGAAACTGTAAGGGGAAGAGGGTCAACTTAAACTGGCACCAGAGTAGAAGCTCCTGAGACGTATTTTCCCAGCTTTCCACTAAAATACCTAAGAAGGCAGAAAGAATTGAAAACTCACAGTGCTGACACCCAAGACTGACAGGCCCTTTTTGCTAGAATCTGGGAGGAATTTCCATAAATACAAGGCAGATGGAGATGGGTTGAGATAAACAATGGGGATTCTGTTCAAGTTTTATCTCCTGAGTTAGGGGAACCACTCCAGGCCAAAAAGAGGTCGAAAAGTACTCAACAATTTCCCTGCTTGCAACCCCAGTCTCTGAGACCCGGAGTCTGTGCCAATCAGAAACTTGGGGTTGGAGGAGGGGTGGAAGTTTTCTCCACTGTGTGGTGAGGAGGGGTGTGTAATTTTATAGGTGAAGTACTCTTTTTCTTACTGGCCCATAGTTCTACTGAAGTTAGAGACTGAAGTTTCCAAGGCCAGCCATGGTGCCTCACGCCTCAAATCCCAACAGTTTGGGAGGTTGAGGCAGGAGGATCACTTGAGGCCAATAGTTAGAAACCAGCCTGGGCAACATAGCGAGACCCCGTCTGTACTAAAAATACAAAAATTAGCTGGGTGTGGTGGTGCACACCTGTGGTCCCAGCTACTTGGGAGGCTGAGGTGGGAGGATCACTTGAACCCAGGAGTTTGAGGCTGCAGTGAGCTATGATTGCACCACTGCACTCCAGCCTGGATGAGAGATAAAGACTTTGTCTCAAAAAAATAAAAATTAAAACATTTAAAAAAATGAAGTTTCTAGAAGACTATATAGGTCAGGGGAGATAAAATAGAGGGAAGAATGTCAAAAGCACTTTGATTCCCAAGAGGGACAACTCCCAGAAGTGCTATTGCCCATGGAATGGAGTGCGTGCTGGGGATTATAGTTTTTAATGCATTTCTTTTAGTTCATTGTGCCAAAGAGCCAACAGTGCAGTGGGATAGAAGGGGTTCCCTCCTCAGTTCAACACAGTGTAATAGGCGAGCACCTGGTTGACACTGCCTCTAGTTGCTGTACAGACCAGCCAGCCTTTCCTCTCCAGGTTTAGATTATAAAGTGGTGGTGGCTGGGCACAGTGGCTCATGACTGTAATCCCAACACTTTGGGAGACCAAGGCGGGTGGATGGCTTGAGCCCAGAGTTCAAGACCAGCCTGGGCAACATGGTGAAATCCCATCTCTACAAAATATTTAAAAAGTCAGCTGGGCGTGGTGGTGGGTGCCTATAGTCCCAGCTACCTGGCAGGCTGAGGTGTGAGGATCACTTGAGCCCGGGAGACAGAGGTTGCAGTGAGCCGAGATCGCACCACTGCATTCCAGTCAGGGTAACAGAGTGTCCCTGTCTCAATAAATAAATAAATAAATAACAAATAAAATGGTGGCGTTTGGGGTGAGGAGCTGGGGTCAACCGGTACTTTAGTGGACAATGAGAAGTACTGAGGGCAATTCACACAACCTGTCTGTCGGTAAACACAAGCCTAGGTAATAACCAGCTTCTGCAAAGATGAATAAACAAAAGTCAATCGGTGGAGAGTATGCAAAAAATTACTGCATAATGAGAGGAAGGAAATGTCTTTCTAAAAGGAAGAAGCTACCTTTAAAAAATATTCACTGTGTGTCCCAGAAGAAAAACAATGGAAATTTGTCTTGTGTGCTACATAGAACATATACAAAGGGGATAATTTCAATAAAATAGGAGCAGAAGTTTCTAAGAACAGTGTAGACAGAGATTAAAAAACAAAAGCAAAACTATGATTGCAATGACAGAATTTAAATCCCCAGTGGGGGTGGTTAAAGTGCAGCAGTGACCTTGCAGGAAACCAAAATCAGTAATATGGGAGCCAAGCTCGAGAAGCTCTTGTAGCATAAAGAGGAAAAATGATAAATGTTATGGACAGAAAGATTATTTATGAGGGGCAATATCAGCTTAAGGAAAACGGGCATTCATGATGGAAAAAAAGAAATAAAATGCAAAAACAAACATGGACAAAAATTACAGAAAGCATTCTGGGTCAGAAAAAAATAAAGCCCAAGTTGCTGGGTGTGGTGGCTTACACCTGTAATCCCGGCACTTTGGGAGGCTGATGTGGGTAGATCACTTGAGGTCAGGAGTTCAAGGCCAGCCTGGCTAACATGGTGAAACCCCATCTCTACTAAAAATACAAAATTGGCCGGGCATGGTAGTGCATGACAGTGATCCCAGCTACTTGGGAGGCTGAGGCAGAAGAACTGCTTGAACCTGGGAGTTGGAGGTTGCAGTGAGCCAAGATCATACCACTGCACCCCAGCCTGAGTGACAGAGTGAGACTCCTCCAAAAAAAAAAAAAAAAAAAGGCCAACTATACAGGAAAAAGGACTTATCACAATTCAGGCAAAATTACTGAGAAGAAGCGCACATTTTTCTGGCTATCTTTTGCTTTGTAATGAACCCCATCATCTCACTATTATCTCTGATGATTCTGTGGGTGCCCTCGGCACAGCTGGGTGACCTTGCTCAGGGTCTCTGGTTGCAGTCAGCTGGTGGCAGGGATTAGATCATTTGAAGGCTTCTACCGTTGTGTCTGGGATCTGGGCTGGGATGGCGGGAACAGGTAGGGGCTGGCTGGGCATCTCTTTCTCTTCACTCCACCTGTCTGTGGGCTAGCTTCAGCCTCCTCACAGCCTGGCAGTCTCAATCAAGGTGACTGGGCTTCTCCCATGGTGGCTGGCTTCCTCCAAACTGAATGTTCTAAGAAGCCCCGGAATAAGCTTCAAGGCTTCTTCTGTGCCTAGCTTCAGAAGGCACACAGTCTTCTGAGAGTCTTCTTTTCCATTTCACTCTATTGGTCAAGTCAAAGAAGTGGAGAAAGAGATTGTACTTCTCAATCGGGAAAGGCTTGCATGTACGGGAAATGAAGGAATGGATGGTGGCCATCTTGGAAACAAGCTCCCATCCCTACCAACATGCCCTTAAAAATATTTCAAGGAAAAACCTCTAAGGGTCCAAGTTGAAAACACAGGTTGCCTGAGAAAGGTAAGAATTGAATTTCACATATGCAACCCCAATATGGAGCAGTAGCCTCAGAGTTACAGAGCAAAATTATGTTCATAGTAATTTTATACTCGATCAAGTTATTACTCATGTGTGAAAGCAACTAAGGAACATTCTCTGATAGTCAAGGGCTCAGAGAATGTAATACTTGTATGATCTTTTGAAAAAGCTACTTGAAGATATATTCTAGTCAACCAAGAAGTGAATCCAAATCAAAGGATGCCTGAATTGGAAAGCCAATGAACTGAGTGTTTTCTGTTTAGTGGAAATATTTCCAAGAATAGCAAAGCTCCTCAATATTTGGTGATGATCATAGAAAGAATAAACGGAGGATGAAAAATTTCTGCTGTAGAATCTGCAGATTTGCCTCTACCACTCTGTGTGTCCCAAGATGCCGGGTGTGTGGTCAGGAATCTGGTGCACATTTCTTTTTCTCTTTTTTTTGAGACAGAGTCACACTCTGTGGCCCAGGCTGGAGTGCAGTGGTGTGATCTCTGTTCACTGCAACCTCTGCTTCCTGGCTTCAAGCGACTCTCCTGCCTCAGCCTCCTGAGTAGCTGGAATTACAGGTGCAGGCCACCACCTCCAGATAATTTTTGTATTTTTAGTAGAGACAGGGTTTCGCCAGATGGGCCACCACCAGTGTAGTGGCCAGGTTGGTCTCGAACTCCTGACCTCAGGCGATCCACCCATCTCGGCCTCCCAAAGTGCTGGGATTACAGGCATGAGCCACCGCGCCCAGCCTGATGCACATTTCTATGAAGCCTGGAAATGACACCTTGTCATTCAGTGGAGAACAAAAACACGTGGCCTCTAGACCAGGGGTCGCAGGCCCCATTGACATTTAGGGGCCAGCAGGTATTGTCTGTGGATAAAGTGGGTAAGTGTTAGAGAGGGTGTTGAGGAGAACTGGGGAACTGGGCCCTGTGATGTCCATTTTACAGATGTCCCCTGTCCCAGGTTTGTTTGCTTGTTTTTGAGACAGAGTCTTGCTCTGTTGCCCAGGCTGGAGTGCAGTGGCACAATCTTGGCTCACTGCAACCTCTGCCTCCCAGGTTCAAGCAATTCTTGTGTTTCAGCCTCCCAAGTAGCTGGGATTACAGGCATGCGCCACCACACCCAGCTAATTTTTGTATTTTTAGTAGAGATGGGTTTTCGTCATGTTGGCCAGGCTGGTCTCGAACTCCTGGCCTCAAGCAATCCACCCACGTCAGCCTCCCAAAGTTCTAGGAATACAGGCGTGAGCCACCATGCCTGGTCCCCTGTCCCAAGTTTCATAGCAGTTTGGATCAGGACAGCTTCTTCGTTCTGGAAGCTTCTTCAGAGGATGCTTACAGGGATGCTGGCGCTATCAGGAGGCAGCAGAGGTCTGTGTTTCTGAGGGGTGGAGGTGGGAGCAGCCATTGGCCTGGAGCTCATGTCCCTACCACTGGGCACCTGGGTCTGCAGCCACTCACCTGGGTGAGGAGGGCCCTTGTCTCTCTGCCAGCCAACCAGCCCTCCCTGCCTCACTCCTTCCTCATGTCTGTTCCTCCACTTTCTCTCTCTTCCCACCTGCCTTCCGTCCTCCCTCCTGTCTCTCTATTTCTTCCTCTCCCTTTGTCTCTCTCTCTCTTCCACTCTGCAAGCTCTTAGTAAGCACCTACTGTGTGCATATCACTGGGATAGGCTCTGAGTGTGACACGCCACACCCAGCTGGATGTGAGCTCATCTGTCTCCCCCTCCACTTCCACATATGCAGAAACAAGGCTTTTCAGTAAAGAAATACAGCAAATTTCTCCGAGGCCGATAGTAATTACCCTGTAGACACAATCACATGAAATTAGCTGGAAAACTAACCTGATCCTTGAACTTTCTGCCTCCTCGGTAATTTCAGCTCTGAAATACTGTCATTGCATTTAAGAAAGAACAGTGAGAAGGAGCTTTGTGATAGGCCTGGAACAACTCTGCCAGCTCAGGCATGCCAGGGTCAGGCATTGGCTTCTAGAGGAGGCCGGCTCCTTGTCAGGGGTCTGCCCAGCTGTGCCCCAGAGCTCAACCCTCATCCTGGTTACGGGCCAGAATTTCCTTCCTCCACCGAAGCCCACGCAAGTTGGGCGCTGTGGTGGAGGAAATGCCTCACTCCAGTACTTTGGACCATGCTCGGATCTGCACATTTACACAAAACTACAAACCCTTCCTTCTTTTGCTCCCTCTCACCCCTCCACCCAATTCATACACCTAATGTCTTTAATAAAACTTTTAATGTGCTATTTGCCCTAGGATTAAATTAAACCCAAATTTCTGGTTCCTTTCATCATTGTACCATCATGCTACTGGGGAGTGCTTATAAGATCCTCCACGTTCTTTCTTGATGAAAATCATCTCTTTTTTTTTTGTTTGAGATGGAGTCTCCTTCTGCCGCCCAGCCTGGAGTGCAATGGCATGATCTCGGCTCACTGCAACCTCCACTTCCCAGGTTCAAGCAATTCTGTTGCCTCAGTCTCTCGAGTAGCTGAGATTACAGGCACCCGCCACCATGCCCGGCTAAGTTTTGTATTTTTAGTAGAGACGAGGTTTCGCCATGTTGGCCAGGCTGGTCTTGAACTCCTGAGCACAAGTGATCCGCTTGCCTCAGCCTCCCACAGTGCTGGGATTACAGGCATGAGCCACCGTGCCTGACCGAAAATCATCATTTTAATAATGCCTTTTTCTTTTAAGTTTGTGCAAATTATTTTATGCTTTATGCTGTAATCAAAACTATGTGAGACAGACATTATATTGAGTGAAAGAAGCCAGAGATTGTATGAATTCATTTGTGTGAAGGGAAAGAACACGCAAAATGAATGAGGGTCAAAATTACGTTTCCCTCTGGTAAGGTGGTCAAGGGGTGTGAGGGAAACATCTCGGGTGCTAGACATACTCTGTATCTTTTTTTTTTTTTGAGAGACAGAGAGTGGGTCCTGCTCTGTTGCCAAGGCTGGGAGTGCAGTGGTGCAACCACAGCTCACTGCACCCTTGACCTCCCAGGCTCAAGTGATCCTCCTGCTTCAGCCTCCCAAGTAGCTGGGACTACAGGTGCACACCACCATGCTCAGCTAATTTTTTTATCTTTTTGTAGAGACAGGAGTCTCATTATGATGCCCAGGTTGGTCTGAAACTCCTGGGCTCAAGCAATCCTCCCACCTCAGCCTCCCAAAGTGGTGGGATTGCAGATATGAGCCATCATGCCCAGCCTGTATCTTGATGTGAGTGCTGGTCACATAGGCGTATGTAATGTTTGTCAACATTCATTGAATTGAACACATAGGGATATGTGCTCTTTATCATGTTATACCTTAATTTAAAAATAGATGTATGCAAGTTAGTTTCTTTACAATGCAAGTTTGTGCTAAAATTTCTCTATTTTTTGCTGTCCTTTGTACTATTGGCTTTGTTTGTTGGCAGAAAGTGTTGTGTTCTTTGCTCCTCTTAGCTTATTTTTAAGGAGCACTGTTAAATTACTTTTATGCATTGCCCCCCATCATGATATTACTCCTCATTAGAATTCATAATCTAGAAGGAAAGCTAACATTCATACTCAAGTAACAATCATGCAGAGTTTCAATGTGAATTTGGGAGGAAGCATGAGAATCTCTAAGGATGAAGGCAAGAATGTAAAGAGTGATCTCACACAATTAGTGCAATCTAACAACAACACAGGAAGAACAAACTGGGGTTCCATGGGCTGGGGTCAGATCATGGAGGGCTTGGATGCCAAATTGCCATTTGTTTTAGTAGACCATGGGAAGCTACTGGAGTTGCTTCAGCAGAAGAGGAGTGTTATCAAACCCATGCTTCCCAGAGAGAAATATAGCAGTGTGCCCAAGATGAGGCAATGCCTGAAGGCTGGGAAACCAGGCAAGAGGGTACTGCAATAGCCCAAGTGAGAAGTAATAGGGCTTGACATAGGTAAAGAACTAGAAAGGAGGTGATGGATGCTATAAATAATGGGACCAATGGGTATAGAGAGGATTGATGAAAAAGAGAAAAAATAGGCCGGGTGTGGTAGCTCACGCCTATAATCACAACACTGGGAGGCTGAGGCGAGAGGATCACCTGAGGTCAGAAGTTTGAGACCAGGCTGGCCAACATGGTAAATCTGCGTCTCTACTAAAAATACAAAATTAACTGGGCATAGCGGTGCGTGCGTGTTATCCCAGCTACTCGAGAGGCTGAGGCAAGAGAATCACTTGAACCTGGGAGGCAGAGGTTGCAGTGAGCCAAGACCATGCCACTGCACTGCAGCCTGGGTGACAGGGAGAGACTCTGTCTCAGAAAAAAAAGAAAAAAAAAAGAGAAAGAAAAGACTTGCCAGTTGGGAGCATGGGCTCTGGACTGATACTGTGTGACCTTGAATCCCAGCTCCACCCACATACCAGCTGTTAATTTTAGGCAAGTCTCTTAACTTTATTATCACTCATCCAACGAAAAGGAGATGGAAGCTTTGAGAAATTTGTAAGCTTCCATCTTTTTGATAATAAGAACACCTGTTGCATAGGATTACATGAGTTGTGCCACATAAGGCACTATTGTAGGACACAGGGACACTGTAGGCCCTCAGTGAATGGGAAATAGTATAATGACTTTCATTATCGTTATAATTATTTGGGATACTATTAAGAATGCCTAAAAGGTGGTCAGCACAGGCAGAGTGAAAGGTTAGGTGAATGATGGCTTCCTTTTTTTTTCTCAGCAAAAGCTTTAAGAGCCAACACATGGTTCATCATGTTCCCATTTCCTTCTGCCGTTGCAGACAGAGGCCACGCCACTAGATCCCAACAAGAAGATGACAGAACAGAGCCTCAAGCTACCCACCATTGACATGGAACCTGAACAAGAAATAAACCTGTATGGTTGTAAGCCATGGAGACTTAGGAGATGTTTGTTGCTGCAGCATAATCCAGTCTCCCTGACTGCTACAGAGGGTGAATGAGTTGTCCAATGACCCTCATCTGTGACATCAACAAAGTTAAAGCAGAAAACTCCCACAGGTTCCTCCAGAAAGGCTTACAAAGACACAGCTTCAGTCTTTCCCATCATAACAACAATCATAGCATCAGACTGTTAGCACACGCCAAGGGGGATAATTTGGGTGGAGTGGGAAGATGCTCTGTACCCGGTATTTTACAGTTAAGGGCAAATTTGCAGAGATTTGGAAAATTGGGTGCTGTGTGGAGTAAACACACTGAGCAAGTTTTCAGCTACAACACAGCTGAGCTCAAGGGAATGGGGTTTGATAGTTAGTGTCAGCATAATGAATTAAAAAAAAAAAAAACCCACTCCAGAATGTCTGCAAAATACTGTCAAGCTAAAAATCGTGCCTGCGGGGTTTTTTTAAAAAGCAATTTCCCTAGCCACTGTGGCTAATAATATCTCATTTTGTTGACTCTAAAAGAAGGCCTTTTTAAAAATGCTGTAGCATGTCATCTCCCAGTTTAAATCCTCTCAATGACTTCCCATTGCCTTGAAGGTCAAGTTGAAACTCTTCAAATGACCCATAAGCCTCTTCATGACTGGGTCCTGCCTACCTATCCAGCTTCACATCTGGCCTCCCATCCTGTGGCCCCACCACTCAAGGACAGAAAATTCCTAGTAGAAGCCAAGCCCACCCTGCCTCTGAGCCTTTGCACTTGCTGTTCCCTCTGTCCAGAACACTCTTCCAACCATTGAGAAAATATTCAATTATGCATAGGGTACCAGGCAAGCAGATGCTCCAAATGTTTGAAATAATACAAATAATTTCCATAATGCAAATGCAAGTACCTTTCTCCAAAACAGTATTGGGATGTGGGGGACATCACAACATGTTTTAAAGTTTCCTTGTACAGTTGACTGTTCAAACATGGGTTTGAACTGCCTGGGTCCACTTACACATGGATTTTCTTCCATCTCTGACACCCGTGAGATAAGACCAACCCCTCTTATTCCTCCACCCACTCAACATGAAGACCATGAGGATGAAGACCTTTATGATGATCCACTTCCATTTAATGCGCGGTAAATATATTTTCTCATCCTTATAATTTTCTTAATAACATTTTCTTTTCTCTAACTTACTTTATTGTAAGAATATAGTATATAATACATGTAACATAGAACATATGTGTTAATCAACTGCGGACTGGAAGCCTTACCCATTAAGCGATAATTCCTCCCCTCCCTCCTTCCTCCCAGCTTCTGGTAACCTCTAATCTACTGTCTACTTTCTGTTTCTATGGATTTATCTCTTTTGGACACTTGTATATGAAATCATACAATATATGGCTTTTGTCTCTGTGTCTCCCCCTTAGCACAATGTTTTCATGGTTCATCCACACTTTAGCAGAATCAGGACTTTATTCTTTTTCATGGCTAAATAATATGTCACTGTACAGAGGGGCCACATTTTGCTTATTCGTTCACCTGTTGCTGGACACTTGGGTCATTTCCACTTTTTTCTTCCACCTCTGCCACTCCTGAGACAGCAGGACCAACCCCTTCATCGTGAAGACTGTGAGGATGAAGACCTGCTGCCAGCAGTGCTGCCATGAACAATATTGGCATTGCTTAGTGGGTATGATGAAAAAGTGTTGGAAAGAGATAGTGGTGATGGTTTCACAACACTGACTCCAGCAGATATTGCCATTCTGACCATTTCTGATTATACAATGTTCATTACCAGAGCAATGTTCATTACCAGAAATCAACATGAAAACTAACCAAAGTAAGCAAATGTACTTAAGGCCACTGAATAGTATACTCAGAAATGATCAGAATGGCAACATCTGCTTGAGTCCCTGATTTAAATTCTTTTGGGATGTACCCAGGAGTAGAAATGCTGGGTCCTACAGGAATTCTCTTGTTTCCCATCACCCCACTACGCCCCCCTATCAGTGGCAATAATAATGTTTGGGGAGCCCTGGCTACTTGCCAGACGCGGTGCTAGGCCTTTTAGCTGTATCTGCTTGTTGGAGCCTCTGGCAACTCTCTGTGGCATATACACTTATTACCCCCATTTTCCAGGTGGAGACACTGAGGCCTAAACAGATCCTGCAACTTGCCCCAAATTACAAACCTAGGAAGCGGCAAAGCAGGGATTTGAATTCCAAAATCTCTGCTCTTAACCAGTCTTCCTCCTGAATCACATGATGTGGTGGCGGGAGGAGTGGGGAATGGGAGGGAGGTGAATGGAGACCCTCTTTCTGAAAGTGTTGTCCAGTCTGTAATTATCAAGATTAACTGAAAAGTCTGGCATGGTAGTCCCAGAACTTAAGTTCCTTTGGAGGGTTTTTGTTTTCTGTTTCTTTTTAGACTGAGGCTCGCTCTGTCGCCCAGGCTGGAGTGCACTGGTACTATCTCGGCTCACTGCAACCTCCACCTCCTGGGTTCAAGCGATTCTCCCACCTCAGCCTCGTGAGTAGCTGGGATTACAGGCGGGCACCACCAAGCCTGGCTAATTTTTGTATTTTTAGTAGATACAGGGTTTTGCAATGTTGCCCAGGTTGGTCTCAAACTCCTGACCTCAAGTGATCTGCCCACCTTGGCCTCTCAAAGTGCTGAAATTACAGGCATGTGCCTCTGCACCCGGCCCCTTTGGAGGTATAATACTGTTTTAATGTAAACACACCATTTGACTATTTTATACAAGGGAGGAGGAGGCTGGTGCTCCCTTATCATAAGAGCAATGTTCATTACCAGAAATCAACATGAAAACTAACCAAACAAGCAGAAAGAAGAAAATGTTTGAAACACGCACACACAAACTATAGTTCTGCCTCCTCAGGCGCTATTACTATTAACATTTTGGTGCTAATGATTCTTTCAAAAAAAAAATTTTTTTTTGAGACAGAATCTTGCTCTGTCACCCAGACTGGAATGCAGTGGTGCAATCATGGCTCACTGAGCCTCTCGGGCTCAAGTGATCCTCCCACCTCAGCCTCCTGAATAGCAGCAACTACAGATGAGTACCATTATGCCCTGCTAGTTTTTTTTCAGAGATGGGGTCTTGCTATGCTGCCCAGGCTGCTGTTGAACTCCTGGGCTCAAGTGATCCTCCTGCTCCAGTCTCCCAAAGTGCTGGGATTACAGGCATGAGCCACCTGGCCCAGCTTCCAAATCTTCTTCTATGCATATGCAAGTGTATGATGAATCTCTTTTTTAATGAGATTGTACAGAGTATGCCATTTCTTAATCTTTTTTAATTTAACACATCACAATTATATTCCGTTAATAAATATATTTCTCCAATATAATTGTATGATTATTGTGTATTTCATTCTTCACTCAGCAAGCATTTACTGAGTGACTTTGTGTCTCAGGATGTATTTAAGAGAGCCTCTAGTATTATGTATAATTTCTCCCAACTTCTTACTAGGATAAAGAGCACTATATTAAATATGCTCATAGCTAAATCTTTGAACTTATACTTTGATTATTTTTTGGAAATAAATTCCTAGAGGTAGAATTGTTTGATCTAAATAAAACACTTTTCAGGCTTTTGACATTCTCTGAACCAGTCATATTTGGTTGTGAGGAATAGATCGCTACTTGAACTAGCTCAAATTCAAGGTGGTTTATTAAAAGGACACAGACCTTAGGAAGGGTGAGAGCAGAGCAACTTCAGTGTTCTCAGCAGTCGAAGTTCATGGCCTCTCAGTCTAATGCTCCCATTGACTTGACTCTGCCAACTCAGTCTTTGTTTCAACTTTATCCAAATTCTCAAGAAAGAGAAGCTGGTTGGTGGAGCCTCAGCCTATGGGACTGGCTCCTCTACGTTAGACGATTCCGTGGTCGAATTATGGGCAGCCAGTGAGACCCATATGGAACTGATAACCTCCTATCCCATGAAGTGCATCTTAATAATGGCTTGAGAATGAAAATATGTAGGAAGAGAAAAAAATAGCATCCTTTTAATTTTTTTGTGTGTGTAAATGGATCATCATTCTTGGAACATAATCAGAATTCTTCTGGCTGTACATGACAGAAACCCAACTTAAACTGGCCTAAGCATGAAGATATTTATCAGCTCATGTGACTGGGAAGTTCAGGGGGTAGATCTGTCATCAAACACAGCTACAGCCAAGAGGCCTACAGTGTCACCAAGACTCTTTCTTCCCCACTCCCCACCCGCCACCCTCTCTGCTCCACTCCACTTTCTTCTGCGATGGAGGCATTCACAGGCCAACCCTCTCCAGGGTAATGTGCAAAGGCCCCAGCAGTTCCTGACTTATCCTACCACCTTGGCAACCCCAACAGGAAGAGGGCCTGACTCCTCCCAGCAAAAGTCCCAGGGCTCACTCCTATTGAGACTTCACTGACTCAGTCACCATGGCCAAGGGAAAGGAGGTGGCTGATTGGTCAGGAGTAGGTCTTGGGCGTGCCCCTGGGCCGGGCAGTAGGGTTAGCCCTGCCTGAACCATGTGGACAGAGAGTAGGAGAAGGGTGACTAAATCAGGTGCTTTTTCCAAAAGGAGAGAAGTGGACACCAGGCAGAGCACACCAAGAAGTGTTGCTGCAGAAATGTAGTAGGGGTTTTCCCCTCTTTTTCCAGTAGAAGAGATGCATCATATCAAGCCATTCTGATTTTCTGTTCTCAGTTTTCTCAAATGACAAATAAGAGGTGTTGTGAGCTTGGTGTGAGAAGTTCCAAAGAATTTTCTGGAATGATGGAAACATTCTTTATCTGTGCTGTCTGGTATAGAAGCCACAAGCTATGACATTGCTACTGGACTCTTAAAATGCAGCTAGTGGGACTGAGAAACTGAATTTTTCATTTTAATTAATTTAAATTTAAATAGCCACACAAGGCCGGTGGCTGCTGTAATCAGACAACACAGAATAAAAGCCTGCTAAGTTTTTCTGTTAGCATTGGATAGAAATGTGAGATCTTCAATGCATCTGGTCTGTAGTAAAAGAAACTCTCTTGCCCTTGTCTGCTGCCAGAGAAACTTTCTGAATCTCAGGGAGTTTTTCCACGAGAGTGATGGGAGGTCTGCGCTGCGTCCATAGGGCCAGCGATGAATGTGGCGCCTTGTAATGAAATAACTGAAACATCATTGTGACTGTAGAATCAAGGGTCTTCCCTCCTTATCTCCAAAGTGCCCGTGTTTTACATGAAAAAGCGTTTCTAATTAATAGGCCAGCCCCTCTTGAGTTTGATAAAAACAGAGGAGAAAAGGATTTGATTAACCCACGATCTTTTCAATTTGGCGTGTTCTGCATGAGTGAAGTGTGTTTTCTGCAACCGAGCCAAGCCAGGCTCGTCCTGGTTTACCGTGATAACATTCTTCCCTTTGTGCAGCCCTGATTCACTTCCAGGAGAGGCTGGTATGAAGAGATTCTCAGAGGTAATCACTAGCGTGGCCCTCAAGGGTAATCTGGATTCTCGTACAGACAGTGGCCCACACGAGGAAGGAAAAGACGACAAAAGCTTCCATTGTCCCCAAGTAAGATAGTTTGTTCAGCCTGGAGACCGAGGGTGGGAGGTTTGGGCTAAGCAGGGATGGGAGGAAGGGTGACTGGGTCACTCAAAGTCAAAATGTCAGGGACTGTGATGGTGCAGAAGGAAGACAGCCAGTTGTAGCAATCATCTGGTGCTATGATCTGTTGTCTGCTATCTGTCCTGTCTGCAGTGTGTGGCCAAAGAAGCCTTCACTGCCTGGGATCAAAGCAGGTCACAGAGTAATGTGTTTTCTGATTTCATTTTTTCTCTTTGTTGATGCAGAGATAAGAAACTTCTTTCTCCTCTCTGCTTACAGGGACAGGACAGGCTAGGTAGCAGATAACATCTCTCTAGATGGATGTGGGTTTTAAAACATGACTGCAAAGTTTTTGACAGTTCACCATTGAGAAGTGAGGTCTTTCGTGCTTATCATTTGAATCAGGATGGGATTGTAATTGCCACCATGCTAGAGAAGCCACATGTTGGAGCCTCAGTTGGGGGACCCTAGCAGAGCCCAGCCTTCCAGCCATCCCTAGCAAGGTACCAGACATGGGAGTGGACCCTCTGGGCTAAGCCACTGGCTAGCTGAATACTCCTGAGTGATCTCCATCAACACCATGTAGAACAGAAGAATCACCCAGCTAAGCCCTGCCTGATTTGCTGACCCACAAAATTGTGCAATATAAAAGTGGTTGCTGTATTCAGCCACTAAGTTTTGGGATTATTTCTCACACAGTGAAAAGATAATAGGAAAATAATGTACTGAATTATTTTGTTTATTGGTAGGTTCCTGGCCCCATTCATCAAGGCTGGGCCAGGGAAGGCTTTGAATATGGCTACTGTTTGGGTCTGTAACACACTCCTCAAATGACACACTTCCTGCTTGAATTTTAAGGTGTATTGACCTCATAATGTCAGCTCAATGGACAAAAACTTTCAGGCTCCTGGGGCTGGGAGATGAATTGGGGCTACTGGGCTGCACAGCTTCAGCATTCAATGTAAGTGGACCCTCCCACTGGAGTTGAGCAGTATGGCGGCTTTGGGAGATGTCATGGAAAATGTGTGGACTCTTGACAGACTGCCTGGGTTGCAATCCTGGTTAGAACTGTTACACTGTGTGACCTAGAACAGCTATTAGCTTCAGTTTTCTTGGCTATAACATGGTCGTCATGATCAGGCCTACTTCACTGAATTACTATGAGGGTTAAATAAGAATTTACATAGAAGGTATTGTCACTTCTTTTGCCATTTGGTATCTGAAGTCCCTTTCTACATTTTGGGAATTCTTGGCTGTATCAGTCATGGGGGATGGGAAGGCAGAACCCTCATCTCTCTTAGGAAGTTGGAAGCCTGGCCTTTGCTCTCCCAGTCTCCCTGGCTGCCAGGGTGTCCTGTGTCATAGGTTATATGACATGGGCTCAGCAATCAGGTGTACTGGCCTCAGACTTTGAAATGGGAGCTGAGGTTTGAAGAAACCAGGACAGGGAAACATATTATTGGGGGGCATCAGCAATGGCAGTCACATCCAGCTCCAGCAGTGGGGGACACAGTCAGCAACGCCTAGGTCAGTGGTTAGCACAGGAGCCTTCACCAGGCTGGCTTGGGGTGTGATTTTGGCTGTGCTTGGGGATGCATAGTCCCCCTTAGGCCCTTTTCCCCTTCTGAAGCTGCTGCTTCTTCCACATGATATTGCGGCGACTCCACGTCCTTCCGTTAATTCTTCATCTGCTTAAATCAGTCCAGCTAGGTGGGTGTCTATGGCCTGCCAATGAGAAACCTGACTGATGCTTTGCATGTAAAGTGTCTAGCACTGTGCTGGGCACAGAGAAGGGCCTCGGGAAAGGTCCCAGTGGCAGACATCACCCTTTGTTTTTTTCTTTTTTGAGACAGGGTCTTGCTCTGTCACCCAGGCTGGAGTGTGGTGGTGAGATCATAGCTCACTGCAGCCTCGACCTCCTGGACTCAAGTGATCCTCCTGCCTCAGACTCCCAAGTAGCTGGGATCACAGGTGTGTGCCACTAAACCTGGCTAATTTTTTAAAAATTTTGTAGAAAAAAAAATCTTGCAAAGACGGAATCTCACTATGTTGCCCAAGCTGGTCTTGAACTCCCAGCTTCAAATGATCCTCCTGCCTCAGCCTTCCCAAATGCTGAGATTACAGGTGTAAGACACTATGTCAGGCCAGAGCACTTCTTAAACGTATCAAAATTAACATTATAACAAAATGTAGAAGGTGGGTACATGGGTATCCACAATTCTTTCTACTTTTCTGTATATTTGGGATTTTTCATAAGAAAATACTGGGGGAGGCCTGGTGTGGTGCTTCACAACTGTAATCCCAACACTTTGGGAGGATGAGGCAGGCAGATCACTTGAAGTGATCACTCAGAAGTTTGAGACCAGCCTGGCCAATATGGTGAAACCCCATCTCTATTAGAAATGCAAAAAAATTAGCCAGGTGTGGTGGTGCATGCCTGTAATCCTAGCTACTCAGGAGGCTGAGGCAGGGGAATTGCTTGAACCCGGGAGACAGAGGTTGCAGTGAGCCGAGATGGCACCACTGAACTCCAGCCTGGGCAACACAGTGAGACTCTGTCTCAAAAAAAAAAGAAAAGAAAAGAAAAGAAAAGAAAAGAAAATATTGGGGGAAAGACAAAAAAAAATCCAACAATAACAAAATAAGATGGAAGAAGAGTGATGTATTAGTTTGTTAGGGCTGCCATAACGAAGTACCACACACTGGGTGGCTTAAACAACAGAAATGTATTGTCTCACAGTTCTAGAGGCCAGAAATCTAAGACCAAAGTATTGGCAGCGTTGGTTCCCCCCAAGGGCTGTGAAGGCAAATCTGTTCCAGGCCGCTTCCCTGGCTTCTGGGTTGCTGGCAGTGCATGGTGTTCCTTGGCTGGTAGAAACAGCACCCCGATCTCCATCTTCTTCTTCACATGACCCTCTTCCTGTGTGTGTCTTTGTGTCTGAATTTCCCCTCTTTATAAGGACACCCGTTGTATTGGATAGGACCCATCTTCGTGACCTTATTTTAACTTAATTACCTCTAGAAAGACCCTGTCTCCCAAC
The DNA here is from genome assembly GCF_000001405.40 of Homo sapiens. Lineage (NCBI taxonomy): Eukaryota > Metazoa > Chordata > Mammalia > Primates > Hominidae > Homo > Homo sapiens. The sequence goes on along the minus strand of NC_000012.12, from coordinate 110,968,906 downwards.
AGTCACATTCTGAGGCACTGGGGGTTAGGGCTTCAGCATAGCTTTTGGGGGGATACAATTTAACCCATAACAGGTACATTTGCAGCCTGAACTTCATTTAGGTAAAAAAATAACCATGAGGACCCGCTAAGTGATTAGCATTGTACTTGGCAAAAACTTACTCTCAAATCCCAGCACTTTGGGAGGGGCCAAGGCAGAAGGATCACTTGAGCCCAGGAGTATGAGACCAGCCTGGGCAACACAGGGAGACCTCATCTCTACAAAAAACAAAAAAATTAGCCAGGCATAGTGGTGCATACCTGTGATCTCAGCTACTTGGGAGGCTGAGGCAAGAGGATCACTTGAGCCTGGGAGGTTGAGGTTGCAGTGAGCCATGATTGCACCACTGCACTCCAGCTTGGGCTACAGAGCAAGACACTGGCTCAAAGTAAATAAATAAATAAATAAATAAATAAATAAGCTTTCTCAGACTCCCATGTAGTTAAGAGTAGTCAGGGAACATAGCTCTTGTCAATGAAATGTAGGCAGAAGTCTGTCGGGTGGAGTTCCCAGATAACTCCTTGTTTTCCTAATTTAAAAATTGCGATAGTGGTAGTGGTAATGATGGTGGTGGACAGACTCAGATAGTATATCCTTTTTCCTCCTCTCTTTCCCTTTTTCCTCCCTGGAATGAGGATGCAATGCCTGGAGGTAGAGCCATCATTTTGAGGCTATAAGGATAAAAGCCTCATGCTAAGGATGAAAGAAGGAAGCTAGAAGACTAGGTCTTTTTTCTCCACCCCTAAATAGAGATGGGGTCTTGCTATGTTACCCAGGCTGGTCTCTTAACTCCTCGATTGAAGCAATCCTGCCTCAATCTCCAAAAGTGCTAGAATTACAGGCATGATCCACTACCCCTGGCCTTAGAAGACGAGGTCTTTGGCAATGTCCTTGGATAGCTGCACCAACCCTGGACTGTTGAAGTCCAAAAATCTTGTTAACTGAAAACATTTAACCCTTACTTGTTTAAGCCACTACTTGTTGAGTTTTCTGTTATTTGAAACCAAATGCATCCCTAATTAATACATCTGAGTTTGAGTGGCTGCTTATATTTTTTCTCTATTTTAATTCAAATAAACATGCAATTAGTTCAATAAGATTGCTTCTGGGTATCATCTGAAATTGATTCATGTAAACCAGTGCAGTGACAGTTTTAGAAATTCTGACTTAGTAGGGTCCTTACTTTGGTTGAGCATTTCAGAATTTACTAAGCTTTTCCTCCATCATCCTTTTATTTAATCTTCACTGCAATTCCACAAACTAGTGAGGTAGATATTATTGTCCATGTGTTACAAATGAGGGAATGGATGGGGCTGAGACATGTTAAGTGACTTGCCAAAGATTCTATAGCTGGTAAGTGGGGAGGCCAGGAGGACCTCAACAAATGTTTATTATGCACCTACCAAGTGACAGGCACTGTGGCTACAGAAGGGAATAAGACAGACAGTCTCTGATCCCATAGAGCAACAAGGAGGTAGAAAGTTAAACAAGTCATGGCAACCAAATGTGATCGATGTTATGGCAGAAGAAATCTCCAGGTCTGAGAAAGCATGAAAGAGTGTCCCTATCTTAATTTTGGTCCCCCAGAAGCCAACCTTAAAGCAAGAATTTGAGAGCATATAGATTTGGGGGAGGTAATCCCAGGAAGTGACGGTAGGGGAATTCGGGAAGTTAGACAGGGGAGAGAATATGTGTTGAAGCGTGTGTTACTAAACAGACTTTATGCTGTGGCAACTAGGGCACAACCCTGCCACCCCCCAACCAAGGACCCTCTAGGAAACTGTGCAGAACACATCTCGATGTTGCCCCAGGAGGGGTGAGATGCTGGGATGTTTAGCCACCACCTCTTGTGTCTTGTTGGTTGAGATTTGCTCCTGGGGACATCAACTCCCTGGCACTCTGGCCTGTCCCCATGCACGGACCCAGCGAGCTCTGGCATCTAAAGAATATTAAAAGCCCCCAGCCAAGCAGATGGAAGAACCCCGGGGCTTGCACCAAAACTGTGTGCAGATGGCTCCAGTGAGGGCCTAGAGAAGCTATGGGTTACCAGCAATGACTGCCACAGGTCCCTAATTTAGTGAAGAAGAGTCAGGAAAAGCTTCCTAAGGTAGTGGTGCAAAAATTCTAACCTTTGCTGGTCACATAGTGCGACAATCTGACAATGACACAGCCTCTAAGAGAGGCAGACTTCATGTACAAAATGCCTCAATATCCTGACACTTGGCCTGCTGGCTCACCCGTGAGGCCGATCCAGGTTAAGCCTAAATGCTATGGTGAAGCTGAAGGCAGAGACAAGATCAAAGCACACCCCCTTCCAGAAGCCTCTTCAAGAACCGGCCTCCAGGGAGGGACCAGGGAACCGGCAGCCCTGTTTCCAACTTTGCCTGGGCTTCCTGCGGTGCGCGCTTCTGTCCTCGCTGACATGCCGAATGTTCTCCCCAAATTATTTCTGAGTTCTCCTGGCAGCGGCTCTGCCTCCCCGGCTCCCCTCCCCACTCCCGTTGGCAGATCTGTGTTATAAAATAAGAGGCTCGGGATTATGTCTGTCTGACAACTGAAGAATGAGCAACGGAGCAGATGCAGAGTCTTACAAATCCCGTGAATTATACATGGCCATCTGCAGCCTGGAGCCGTCCAGGATTTCCACCCCACACCACGGCGTTCCATATGGAGTCATATGTTTTTAGTAGCGGAGCCATGCTGTCAACGTCCAGCAATCCGTCATGTGGCACATGTGTGATGCAAGCGCCCAAATCAATGTTATCTCAGGCCCAGGAGTTCTGAGCAGAGCTGAGCGGTGGCTCGGGCAGTCCTGTCTTCTCACAAGGACGGCGCAGTGTCATTTTCCCACATTTGAACAATGTTATTAAATCTCTTTTTTATCACTCGGAAGGCAGCCCTCACACTCTCCGCCACACACATGCCCCGAGAGAGAGGCCTGATTTGAATATAGAAATTTAAAAGTCACTAGATTGAAGCTGGAGGGTGGTGGATTTTAACGGCTTCTCTCCGGACGGGAGCCTGGGCCCTACCACCCTCTTCCTGAGACCTGGGCACCTTCGCCTGAAATCACTGGGCTGGAAATCACGTGACCCCCACCCTGGCTGGAGCTGATTGGCTCAAGATGGACTCCTGGCTCTGGCTGGGCCAATCGGATTCTCTCCTCTACTCAAGCTGCACTGAGACCTCTAAAGGAAGGAAATTTGGGCGCCGTGGGGAAGTGGTGTTAGGCCACGTGTGTGGGAAGGGAGAATCTGGGCTACCGAGAGGGATAGAAAGAGAGGGGGAATGAGAGAGAGGCAGAAGGGAGGGAGGGAGGGAGAGAACAAGGGGAAAAGAAAAGCTGTGTGGGGAGGCTCATGCTTGTAATCCCAGCACTTTGGGAGGCCGAGACGGGAGGATAACTTGAGATCAACCTGGCTGACAGAGCAAGACCCTATCTCAAAAAAAAAGGGGGGGGGGTGTGGAGGGGAGTGGGGAAGGAAAGGGATCACCATCTCTTTGCCAATGCCCTCTCGTTAGTCTCCCTCTTTCCTGAGCACGGGCCATACCCCTGTCCCTGTGTCTAAATTCTCCTGCTTCCCCAAGGGCTGTTTCTTGGCTGAGGTTTGTGGTGAGAGAGAAGGGATCTCGAGATCTCTCGGTCAACTAGTCCAGACGTGGTGCCCTGGACATAATCGCCTGGCATCACCACAGGGCCGGGATGGAGCTCTTCCAACCTTTTCAGGGAACCAGGGTCGGGGTGGGGGCTGAAAAGAAAACGACTTTTCTGGGCCCTGATGACCTTCCCTCAGAAACACCACGGTGTCCTTCCGAGAAACTGGGAAGGCGATCCAGCTCTTTGTTTTTCTGGTAACAGGAATATCCAGGTATTGGCGCTGTTTTGCAAGTACCAACTTTATGCCCACAGGGAATGTCTGTTGTTTGGCCTTCCTGATATCTCTTTTTCCTGCTCAGATACCAGCACCCTAATTTGCCTTTGGGACACCAACCACCTTCCACTCGGGGTCCGCTTTGGGCTGATTGTCTCCTCACCTTGACCCAAGCCCAGCTAGAGGACAGAGAAAGAGAGAGTAGAGGAGAGAATCCGATTGGCCCAGCCGGAGCCAGGAGCCTAGCTTGGTCCAATCAGCTCCCGCCAGAGATTAGTACAGATAGTGGTTAGTGAATGGGCAGAGAACAAAGCTGGGTCATGTGATGTGAGATTGAACCTCTGTGACTCTCTCACACCATCAGGAAGCTTTCACGGTAATCTCTGCCTCTTTTATCTGTGGATAAATGGAGAAGGGGGTACAGCAAGTTTTCATCATCCTGGGGAATCAATGCATACCACCACTGGGAAGACAGAAGACCCTTGCATGCACCTTGGGAACCAAGACTGGGCCTCAGAGACCCCAAGCCTTGTGGTTGAGGCTCATTGGTGTTCATTCCAGACAGACCTGGATTTGAACCTCGATCCCACCACTTTCCAAACCTCTTTCCTTGGACAAGTCCCTTCACCCCTCTGAACCTTAGTTCCCACATCTGTAGAATGGAGATGGCAATGAAACCCACCTTGTGGGAATGGGGTGAAAAGCAGCATCATTCCAGGTATATGCAGCATTGGTGGGTACTAGGGGGACAGAGAGCAAAAGTTTTTATTTTAATAGTTATGCATTTATTTTAAGGTTACTGTCTACTTTTGAAAAATATTACTGTCTACTGTTTTTTTCACTGATGGCAGTGCTCTAAAGTTCCTTTTCAAAATAAATTTATTGAAACAAAAAAGGAGCCAATTTAAAGAAAAATATTAAGTCAAAAGTAGTACAGATGAAACTTGGAAAACCTGGGAAGCAGAATTCAAATGACTGAAGTTTGAGAAACACTGAAATAATGCCCAATGCCTGGTACATAGTAGTTGCTCATTAAAAGTGTATAGATCAAGATGGATTGGTATTTTACACTGGCTGCAGGCAGCCTGGCCATGGCTAGATGGAAACGCATGAGTAGGGGCCAGGCGTGATGGCTCATGCCTGTAATCCCAGCACTTTGGGAGGACAAAACGGGTGAATCACTTGAGGTCAGGAGTTCAAGACCAGCCTGGCCAACATGGCAAAACCCCACCTCTACTAAAAATACAAAAATTAGCCGGGGGTGGTGCGTGCCTGTAATCCCAGTTACACTGGAGGCTGAGGCAGGAGAATCACTTGAACCCGAGAGGCAGAGGTTGAGGTTGCAAGTGAGCAGAGATCATGCCTTTGCACTCCAGCCTGGGTGACAGAGCCTGACTCAATCTCAAAAATAAAATAAAATAAAATAAAATAAAAATTTTTTAAAAAAGAAATGCATGAGTGGGAAGATGCCAGAGTCATGTGACCTTGTGGAGTAGATGCTCTGATGCCTGATAAACCTCAGCCAAGAAACAGCCCTTGGGGAAGCAGGAGAATTTACACACAGGAACAGGGGTGCGGCCAGTGCTCACGACAGAGGGAGACTAATAAGAGGGGATTCAAGTGGTTCTTATGGGAAAACATGAATCTCAGAGGAAATGATTCAAGAGAAGTCAGCCCCAGGGCAAGCCCTGGTGCTTGGAGTTGTGACTTCTGATCCCCATTTTGGATCTAGAAAACTTCCCACCTGAAATGCCTTGTCCCTCTTGACAGCTGTCATCATATCCGGCACACAGGAGGAAGAGGGAGCCCAGGGCAGGATCCTGCAAGATGAGCCCTTTAAGCTGCCATAGGAAGCCACAGGGACTGGCCATAACCAGTCCATTTTCCATCTGGAACTTGGAAATATGGTCTTTCCTAGAGAAGAATGTCAAAGCCTCAGATGGCATCTAGGGGGCTAGACAGGGAGATAAATGAATAAAGTTGGCAGGTTGAAACAATAATCCTGAGGATGGTGTTTCACTGGGCATGTGCCACACCCAAGGTGACAAATTTAGTAAGTTGCTATGCAGGTCACATAAGATCCTGCATGTAAGTGCCTGGCACAGTGCCTGGCATCCAGACGATATGCAAGAAATGGTAGCTATTATGATAATTGTTGTCCATCAGCCTAAGGGAGAGTCCTAAACCAAAGACTGAAAAGCCCTGGAAAGTCCAATATCCTGTTATTTTCTGACTGTAATACACAAAGAAATGTGCTAAGAGGAGCTAGGTGTTGGAAGGAAAGAACTGTTCAGTGGTTAGAGGAATGCCCAATTTCTATTCTTTCTCTGATGAATTCTACAGCCTTCTCCAGCAGTAAAATTGAGATTTTTTTTTAAAAGATAGATTTAAAACTACTTTAGTGTTTTAAAACCCTGCTACCATCTGAATGAGGGAGTATTACGACAATGGAGTATTAGGACAATGCAGTAGCACTTGAAGCCAAAAAATAAATTAAACTGATAAATTACTCAGTGTTCTTGAATGTATTGAGAGATTTATAAGAATAGCAGAGAGCCTGGGGTGAGTTATTGATAAGAACACAGAAGACAAAAAAAAAGAGGCAATGGCTAACTCTAGGAAAAACAAAATGTTATAGTCATAGCACACGAAGTGGCCCAGTTGTGAATAATATAAACAATCATCAGGCTGGGCATGGTGGCTCCATGCCGGTAATCCCTGAACCTTGGGAGGCTGTGGTGGGAGGATTGCTTGAGCCTGGGAGGTCAAGCCTGCAGTGAGCCATGATTCTGCCGCTGCACTGTAGCCTAGGTGACAAAGTGAGACCCTGTCTCTCAAAACAACAAGAAAACAACAACAACAAAACCCAATCATCATAATATAACCATCAAATATTAATTCAATATTTGAATAGACTTTTTAAAGAACTGTCTTAGGTTTAAAGGAAAATTAATAATATAGTTTAGGGAGTTCCTATATGCTCCATATCCAGTTTCCCCCATCACTAACATCTGACATTACTATCTGACGTGAAATTTGTTACATTTAATGGACCAATCTCAATACATTATTATCAACTAAAGTCCATGGGTGATTAAGATTGCCTTAGTTTCTTCTAATGATTTTTTTCTGTTCTAAGATTCAATCCAGGAATCCATACTGCATTTATTTGTATGTATTTCCTTAGGCTCCTCTTGACTGTGGCAGTTTCTTAAACTTTCCTTGTTTTTGATGACCTTGATGGTTTTGAACAGTACTGATCAAGTATTTTACAGAATGTCCTTCAACTGGGGTTTGTCTAATGTTTTTCTCACCATTAGCCTAAGTTGTGGGTGTTTAGGAGGAAGATCACAATGGTAACGTGCCATTTTCATTACATCATACCAATGGTACATATATTATCAACATGTTTTATCACTATTGATGTTGATCTTGATCACCTAAGGTACTGTTTGTCACTTAAATAATTTTAAAATATTAAACATAAAGTAGAAATAAAATATAATTTAAAAATTTAAATGGCACCAATCTATACTTGGAATATGAAGTGGTGAAGACTGTGTGTGTGTGTGGCATGTGCGTGGCATGTGGGGATAGTGATGAGGGAAGATATCTTTACCTTTCATAGTTGAGAGACAATCAGTATCTGAATGGAGGAAAAAATCAAGAAATTACAGAATAAACATTTTATTTAGAAAAATGGAGGAAGAGAATTACTTCAGGAGAGTGAGAACTCAGGATAAGGAGAGGTGGGACAGGGAACGGGGACCATGGTGGATACTGACCACTTGACACCCATCCCAACCTCCTTTATCTTGACTTTCTACTATACAGGCTGAAAAGCTAAAAAAAAGAAAAACTCTCACCATCTTAAACTCCCTTGCAGCTGGGGGTAATTAAGACACAGCTCTTGCCAATAACACAATCAGAAACCTGCTGGGGATTTCTGGGAAAGTCTTTGCTACCTTCCTTCTGCCTGGAACACAGATGTGATTGATGACTTAAGGAGCTGCAGCAGCCATCTTGTGATCATGAGGGAAAGGCCAAGAAAATGGAAACACATCTGACCTGATGCTGTTGAGCCACTTAACAAACTGCTCACGTCTGGACCTCTGGTTGTGAATAACACAAAAATATTAAAATCAATTCTTATAGTTTATGTTACCAGCAACCGGGTTTTCTGTTACTTGCAGCCATGTGCAATCCATAGCAAATATAAGGACTGTTTGACTTTTTTTTAAAAAAATCAATGTATCTGCAGTATTTTGATAACCATTAAAATGAAATTTTAAAATAGATTAGTAGAGTAGAGTGTTAGTCGTTAGTAAAATAGTCCCTGGACTCAGGGACTGCCTGGCACACATGGTGTTCTCATGTAATTTTGGTCGAGGCCCAGGTCCCTTCCTAGTTCCTGCATAGCTCTTAGACCATGTCCTCCCCCATGGTCTTAGGCAGTTAGGAAAGAATACTGCAGATGTAGCAGCCTCTGTGACAGTCCCCATTACATTCCTGCACTTTGCATCTTGACATATATAGATTTTACTTAATGCTATAAATTAAGACAATTGTGCTGAAGTCCAATTAATCCAGTGAATTTTCTGGGACAAATGCAAGGCAAAACTTGATTATGAGGTAGGAGCCCAAGCTCCTGTCTATTTTTTGCTCCTTTGTTTCTGATAAAGCCACTGCACAAAGGCCTCAAAAATACTTTCTGGGCTGGGCACAGTGGCTCATGCCTGTAATCCCAGCACTTTGAGAAACCAAGGCGGGCAGATCACCTGAGGTCAGGAGTTTGAGACCAGGTGAAAGCCCGTCTCCACTCAAAATACAAAAATTAGCCAGGCGTGGTGGCGGGTGCCTATAGTCCCAGATACTCAGGAAGCTGAGGCAGGAGAATCACATAAACCTGGAAGGTGGAGGTTGCAGCGAGCCGAGATCTCGCCACTGCACTCCAGCCTGGATGACAGAGTGAGACTCTGTCTCAAAAACAAACAAAAAAAACTTTCTGAATTCTCCTCTGCTCTATGTCTATTTCTTTAGAGATACAACAAAATAGTTAAGAATCAGAACCCTGCATGTCATCCTAGACACTTCCCTCATCTGCTTTATCCTCGAGTCCTATTTTACCCCTTGGAATCTCTCAAGGCCATCTCCTGTTCATGACCTCTTCATCACCCTAGCCCAGGCAGCTGTCAGTGGTTGATGTCCCCCTCTGTTCAAAGACCTCCAATCAATCGCCCCATCTCACTGTGAAAACCAATGACCTACCAGCTCACATGTGATCTGGTCTCATTTAACCTCTCTGGCCTCACTCTCCTCCACTCTTTCCCTCATTTTCCATTTTCTAATCACATATGCGCCATGTCCCCTCTTACTTTTGCCTGGAATGCCCTCCTACCCGCCCAGGCCCACATGTTTTGCCCTTTATCTTCCTAACTCTTATTCACCCTTCAGAGCTAACTTAGTTATCACCTCCTCTAGGAAGGCTTTCTTGATTCCCAATGTTATATAAAGAGAACTCCCCAAGGAAAGGGTTCAACATCTCCTATTTTAGCCCCAGCATCAGAACAGTTCCTGACACAGAGTAGGCACTCAATAGACGTTTGTTGAGTGAATGAATGTTGGTAGACAGAAGAAAATAAGCTGTTGCTTCCAGCAAGTGGCAATTGAGCCTGTGAGCACAGCTGTGTTTGGGGTGAGAGACTGCCCTCTAGGGCAGCCCATACATGCTCTGTTAGAAATGCTTTGAGTGCAAGTAACTGCAAATCCAGCTAATATGGCCAAAAATACAGGTTGTGCCAAACAGTGGCACACAGGGCAAATCTGGCCCTTAGCCCGTTTTTGAAAATGAAGTTTTCTCAGAACATAGTCACATCCATTTGTTAACATATTGTCAAAGGCTGCTGTCACGATATAAATGAAGAGTTTAGTAGTCATGACAGAGACATATGGCTGGCAAAACTTAAAATATCTACTATGTGGCCCAAGGAGTTTCCAGGGTTAGTTTCATAGCTGAACAATACTCAGGACATTGGGATAGTGTCTCTGTTATTCTCTTGGCTTTCTCCTCATGGTCACAAAATGGCTTCCACAGCTCCAGGCATCACATCCTCACATAACTGCTTTTGGAGAAGGAAGTAATTGGAGGCTTAGAGCAGAGAGATCCCCTTATGTTTTCCTCTTATCGGGGAAGAAAAACTTTCCCAGACTGCCCATAAATTGACCTTTATACCTTGCTGGTCAGACTGGGTTACATGCCCATCCTCTAAGCCAGAGGCTGAACCCACCTTCCTTAAATCCCGGAACAAGATTAGAGTCCTTACAGCAAGGAAGAAGAGAAGGGATGTTACATTAGTGAGCAACCACAGTGTCTGCCATAACATTCCCTCCGACTACCTTTCTCTCTCCTCAGTGGCATCTGACTCTCCCTTAGGAAGGGAACTGCCTTAGATCTGGAAAAAGACCTTGCCAAGAGCTCAGGTTCGAATATGAGCTACCTCTTCCCCAGGGTAGGGTACAAAGTAGCACTACTGAAAGGAGAGCTGCTGCATTGTATAATTGAAGGAAAAGAATTTGAAGTTTCAGGGACAAAATCGGAGATCCAGGGTGGAGACTGAGGTGAGGGCACCGGCAAGATAGTGTCCTAGGAGAAAGTCACTGTCCAATCTTGAGTTTTCTGCCCTTTACAAAATCTTGTATAAAGTCTATTAAATTCGTAATAACCGCTAGAACACACTGGTTGCAAACAAGAGAAAAACAAACAAGCTAAACCGTCTTAGGTGAAAAACAAAAACAGAATAAATCTTAAAAAGCACAACTGAATAGTCTGCCAGGAAGAATGGATGAGGGAGTGAGGGAAGCGGGACTGAAAAGATGGGATTTGATTTCTCTTTATTTCTCTGCCCCATTTCCTCCTGAATGGCTCCATTCTCAGGCAATCTTCCTCCGCAGCACACGATGGCTGTCAGCAGCACCTGGAGAAAGATCATTCCTTTTTTTAGACCAGCAAGCAAAGGAGTCTCTTCCCTCAATTTGTAGAAAACATTCATCTTTATTCCGATGAACAAGCTCAGGTCACATGCCCATCCTTGGGCCAATCACTGTAGCCAAGGGGTAGGGATTATCCTGATTGGCTCAGACCTCAGCCACAGGCCCCACCCCTGGAAGAGGATGTCACTTCCCAGAAGCCCTCGGGCCCTTGGGGAGGGACGGGCACTGTTCCCCAGAGCAGTGCAATCAATGCTGGGAAACTGAAGCTGCGAGTGTCCGAGGGACCCTGGGATGTCTCTGGGGTCTGCGTAGGTACCCATGGAGGAGCAGAGATGGTGGATGAAGGAGGCCGTGGAGGAGAAAAGAACACAGGAATTTACCAGAAATTGGCAGGCTGTGGAATTGATGGAGTCCACTTACTGTCCAGGCCTAAGGGGTAAGGAGACGTCTCCTTTCCCCCATGCTGGCATTTGGGTCACATGTGGAATCCGTGGTAAACTGAGGCACCTGTCTTCTCCTTCCCAGGTCCAATAATCCCATCCTTTGCCGAAAGCTTTACTGTGGGACTGGCATCATTTCAAGCATTTAATCCTCGTCCCAACTCTACGAGGAAGGTACTGTTGTTCCCACTTCACAGGGGAGGTGATTGAGGCACAGAAGGGTCAACCAATTCACTCAAGGTCACGCAGCTCCTACACAGTGCAGTTGGGATTCGAACCTGCAATGTGGTTCCCAGTGCAGCCCACCATGACCATTCCACGTGGCCAAAGCCAGCGCGCCTGGAATCCGGGAAGGGAGTTCTTTCTATTGCAGGCCAGAAGTGGGGTACATCCCACTTGCCTTGAGGGCCCCTAGTGCTTGTCAGGAGGCGACAGACCGAGGTGCTATCCTCTCTGGGGCAACTGAACTGCCACCAGAAAAATGACCCATAAACTCGAGATGGAGCCCGCTTTCCCTCTGTGGATTCCACCCTCCATTACGTCTCTCCCTCAATTAATTAATAAAGCCCCGCGCCTCTCTGCCTGGCTGCTTCCTTCCCTCACTCTACCTCCCCATCTCCACTGAGATCCCGGGAAAAAAATCCCTCCCCATGGCCCAGCCTGCTATTGTCTCTCGGTCCCTACAGTTGCTCCTCATAGGGAGGCTGTTGGAGAGAGAGAGAACACGGAAGGCTCCGGGTGGATTTGTGCAGCCCTTAAAACGGGGCTCTGCTTCATCGAATCTCAGTTTTGTGAAGCTCTCCTGCTGAGCCCGGCCTCTGCTCCAGATTCATCCGTATGGGCAGACCTCCTAAAGACAGGTTCAGTCCAAGGACAGGTTCGAGGTCGAAGATGGGGTTCAGAGCTCTCTCTGAGGGCCCATGCTCTCTAGTTTCCTATTTGCAGGCACACCTTTTATGAACAGCTTGGTTCTGGGCTAAAAATGCGTGGGAAAGAGCTGAGGCCCTAAATTCAGGCAGACCTGGCTTCAAGTGCTAGCCCAACAATAACTGGCCTGGTGACTTGAACTTCTGTGGGTCTCATTTTCCTGTCCTGTAAAATGGGGATAGTAGCAGAAATTGTATATTTGGAAGTTAAATGACAGAACATGCAAATCTCTTAGCACAGAGCCTGACACAATGAAAGTAATTCATTTTTTTAAAATAGCTTTTTTTTTTTTTTTGAGACAGGGTCTCGCTTTGTCACCCAGGCTGGAGTGCAATGGTGCAATCACAGCATACTGCAGCCTCAACCTCCCAGGCTCAAGCAATCCTCCCACCTCAGCTTCGTGAGTAGCAGGGACTACAGGGGTGTGCTATCATACCTGTCTAATTTTTTGTATTTTTTTTTGTAGAGACAGGGTTTCACCATGTTTCCCATGGCTGGTCTTAAACTACTGGTCTCAAGCAGCCCACCCATCTCAGCAACCCAAAGTGCTGAAATTACAGGCATGAACCACTGCGCCCAGCCAAAAATTAGCTATTTTATTGTCAGTAGAATCGTTAAAATTATTTTATGCCTTTCCAAGATAGCACGTTACCCTTGGAGAAACAGCACAGAGCAGGAGCTAAGAACACAGACTCTGGATTCAGTCTTCATGACTTTAAATCCTGGTTCTGTCATTTTTCAGCTCTGTGACCTTAGGCAAGTTATTCTACCCCTCTGTGTCTCAGTTTCTTGATCTTGAAAATGGTATTAATAATAGTACCCACCTCGCAGGCTCTTGTGAGGATTAAATGTGATGAGACATGTAGAGGGCTTAGAACAGCACACAATGAATATTAGCTATTATTATTTTCCAACATTCACGAACTTCTCAGTAAATGAAAACTGTCATTCTTTCAGTGGTGGGTTTTGATCAGTGGCAGGCTAGTAGCAACCAGCTGTCCTAAAAAAATTGTAGGCCAGGCATAGTGATACATGCCTGTAACCCCAGCACTTTGGGAGGCTAAGGTAAGAGGATCACTTGAGGCCAGGAGTTTGAGACCAGCCTGAGCAACATAGCAAGCTCCCATCTCTTAAAAAATGTATACATGTATGCATGTACATACATACTTTTTTGTGTGATGAATTTTACTGATTTAAAGGATGTGTGGTGCAAATTTTGCAAATAATAATAAAGTTTCATTTAGTTTTGCCAATCTCTGTAGCTATTATCTATCTGTAATTGCAAGTTAACCATGATTTCCTTCCTTCCTTCATTTGTTTGAAATGGGATCTTGATATAATTCAGGCTGATCTTGAACTCCTGGGCTCAAGGAATCCTCCTCAGTAGCTGGGACTACAGGTGCCCACCAACCATGCCAGGCTAATGATTTTTTTAAAAAATTTTTTTAGAGATAGGGTCTCTCTGTGTTATCCGAGCTGCAAGCCAACCATGATTTGACAAATGGAGTTGCACCCCAACCATGAGTGTATTTCCAACATGAATGTTGGCTGATTTTTCATTTCCATTAATGAGTAAAATGAAAGTGAGACAATGAAGACATATGTTGAAACTTGACTCAGCCATCAACTTCTTTGCTAAATTGGATAATAGTTTTTAATACTGGAAGAATATTTACTCCAATTTTTATTGCTGTTCACAATGTAATGGGTATAACACAACACACTTTAAAATTTAATCTGTATTATAACATTTTCTTCATTTCTTTCTGAGGTCTAGACAATCAGCCAAAGCCCTGATTGGTAGCATCTGTCTATTTTCATGGTGTAAATATTCCCACCATGGCTATATTCAAGCTAACAAGATAGAGTCACTGAATGTGAAGTTGGAAAGAGAGGCACAGTGAGTGACCCAACATTATACATTATTTCCACCATATAGATACAATAGACTTTAATCTCAAGAGCATAGATAATAGCAAAATTTATAAAATAATCAGAAAGTAATGAGTAGTGCATCATTTATTATATGTTTTTAATTTAATCTCTTTGAGTGTTATATAATTTAATTTAAAATAATTGCTGTTTAACAACTAGCTTGCAAAATTTCTAAAAGTTTAACAATTGGCTTTCATGAGCCAGTGTGAGCTACCTCCAGCATACCTCTGGTTTTGATAGCTAAATCCCCAGAGGAAACTTCAAGAACAACAAAAGAGGAAATGCATTAAATAATTATGGGACGTGAGAGATTTTTAAAATTATGCATTAAGAACAATTTTTCCTAAATGAAGGGTTTTCCTTATTGTGGTAGATTGTATTTTCCAAAGGTGGCCACAAAATATCTCGTATTCCCAAACGTTCTTCTAGTACTTTGCCACTCTACTGTCAAGAGGTAAGAGTCGCTGTCCCCTCTCCTTGAATTGGGGTGAGTTTGGGATTGCCTGGAGCAATAGAGTATGGTGGAAGTGGCTTCCATCCATAGGTGACTTCCAAGGCTAAGTCTGAAAAGATGGTGCCGCTTCCTCCTTGTGACCTAGAAAACTCACTCTTGAAGCCTACAGCCTCCATGTAAGCAATTTGGCCAACCTGAGACTGCCATGTTGTGAGGAAGCCCAAACTAGCCTATGCAGAGTGACTGCACAGAGAGCCCGGAGACTCCATGCAGAGAGAGAGAGGCTCAGGAACACCCAGCTGCCCCCTGCTAGCCCAGCACCAGCTCCATTTGACTGTAACTGTGCAAGAGGCTGTGGGCCAGATCCAGGTATCAGAGACCTCGGCAGGGCCTTGGACATACTAAAAGCTTGTAGAGTCCTGAGAAGGATGTTAGTGCCGAATTAAGAAAAACGTTATTAGAAACTGGAAGAAAGGGGATCTTTGTTATGTGGTGGTGGAAAGTTTGTCACCTGCGGTAACATAGAAAGAAGACATGTATCCAGTGAACTCACTGTTATAGCAGAATATTAAAAGTGTTATCTGGCTTTTTCTTGCTACCTATGATAAAATGTAAAAGGAAAGAAACGAACTAAAACAAGCTATTAAATATAAAGGAGCCAGGATCTGCTGGACTTGAAAACAAAATTATTTTTCGTTCCTAGCTTCTCTAGATGGCAAAAACTTCTCAAACTGAGAAAAGCCCTCAGGCTTTTATTACCTGATTTCAAGACTTACTATAAAGTAAGTCTACAGTAATCAAGACAGTGTGGTATTGGTGAGAGGATAGTCACATAGATCAATGGAACAGAACAGAGAATCCAGAAATAGACCTGCTCGTATATGGTCAATTGATTTTCAACTAAGGTGCAAAGGCAATTCAATAGAAAAAAGTCTTTTTCAATAAAGAGGGCTAGAAAAAATGGACATTATATGCAAAATAAAACAACCCTCAGTTCATACCTAGCTCCCTGTACGAAAATTAACTTTAAATGGATCATAGACTTAAATGTAAAACCTAAAACTATGAAATTTTCAGGAGATGACATAGGAGAAAATCTTTGTGACTCAAGTTTGGCAAAGATTTCTCATGTGGGACACAAAAACACAAATCATAAAAGAAAAAAGCTGATAAATTGGGCTTCATCAAAATTTAGAACTTCTGCTCTTTCAAAGCCTTGGTTAAGAAAATGAAAAGACAAGAAACTGGGAGAAAATATTTACAAAATGCATATGTTATAAAGGAATGGTTTCCAAAATAAGAAGATAAAAAAATTCTCAAAACTCAATTTTGAAAGGAAACTCCGTGTTATTATAAAGCAACCCTATTTAAAGTGGGCAAAAGACTATCTGTTCTCCACTGAATTGCCTTTGTAACTTTGTCAAAAATCAGTTGTCCATTTATGTGTGGATCTATTTATAGACTCTGTATTCTGTTCTATTGATCTATATTCCTGTCTTTATACCAATACCATGCTGCCTTGAATACTGTAGTTTTATAATAAGTCTTGAAATCACATAGTGTTAGTTCTCCAACTTTATTATTTTTCAAAGGCTTTCTAAGTCCTTTGTCTTTCTTTATGAATTTTAGAATAAACATCACTTTCTACCAAAAAAAAAAAAAAAGCCTTCTGGGATCTTTGATCAGAATTGCATTAAATCTATAGTTCAATTTGGGGGGAAATTGCCATCACAACAATACCAAGTCTTCCAACTCATGAACAGGATATATCTCTCCACCTATTTAGCTCTTTTTAAATTTCCTTCAGCAGTGTTTTGTAGTTTTTACTCTAGAAGTATTTCATCACTTTTTTGTCAGATTTATCCCGTAACACTTTTTACTTTTGATGCTATTGTAAATAGTATTGTGTTTTAATATTCCAATTTCTAGTTGTTTTTGACTGGATTTAGAAGTGTGATTGATTTTTGTATAATGATCTTGTATCCTGCAACCTTGCTAAACTCAATTACTAGTTCTCAATTACTAGAAAATCATCAGATTTTATATAAAGATTATCATATCATGTGCAAATTTTACTTCCTTTTTTCCAATGTTAATGCCTTTTATGTCTTTGCCTTGCATTATCAAAATGGCTGTAACACCGACTGCAGTGTTGAATAGGAATGGGTGAGAGCAGGCATTCTACATCTTATATGTAAAAATTAACTCAAAACAGCTTATAGATCTAAATGTAAAGATACAACACTACAAAGATTCCTGAAGAAAGAAAATTTTTGTCCTCTCCCTCTCCCTCTCCCTCTCCCTCCCCCTCCCCCTCCCCCTCCCCCCCTCCCTCTCCCTCTGTCTCCCTCTTTCCACGGTCTCGCTGTCATGCCGAGCCACTCCCTCTCCCTCTCCCTCTTTCCAGGGTCTCCCTCTCATGCTGAGCCAAACCTGGACTGTGCTGCTGCCATCTCGGCTCACTGCAACCTCCCTGCCTGATTCTCCTGCCTCAGCCTGCCGAGTGCCTGCGACTGCAGGCGCGCGCCACCACACCTGACTGGTTTTCGTGTTTTTTTGGTGGAGACGGGGTTTCGCTGTGTTGGCCGGGCTGGTCTCCAGCTCCTAACCGCGAGTGATCCACCAGCCTCGGCCTCCCGAGGTGCCGGGATTGCAGACGGAGTCTCGTTAACTCAGTGCTCAATGGTGCCCAGGCTGGAGTGCAGTGGCGTGATCTCGGCTCGCTACAATCTCCACCTCCCAGCCGCCTGCCTTGGCCCCCCAAAGTGCGGAGAGTGCAGCCTCTGCCCGGCCGCCACCCCGTCTGGGAAGTGAGGAGCGTCTCTGCCTGGCCGCCCATCGTCTGGGATGTGAGGAGCCCCTCTGCCTGGCTGCCCAGTCTGGAAAGTGAGGAGCGTCTCTGCCCGGCCGCCATCCCACCTGGGAAGTGAGGAGTGCCTCTTCCCAGCCGCCATCCCATCTAGGAAGTGAGGAGCATCTCTGCCCGGCCGCCCATCGTCTGAGATGTGGGGAGCGCCTCTGCCCCGCCACCCCGTCTGGGATGTGAGGAGCGCCTGGGCCCGGCCGCGACCCCGTCTGGGAGGTGAGGAGCGTCTCTGCCCGGCCGCCCGTCTGAGAAGTGAGGAGACCCTCTGCCTGGCAACTGCCCCGTCTGAGAAGTGAGGAGCCCCTCCGCCCCGCTGCCACCCCGTCTGGGAAGTGAGGAGGGTCTCCACCCAGCAGCCACCCCTTCCGGGAGGGAGGTGGGGGGGTCAGCCCCCCGCCCGGCCAGCCGCCCCGTCTGGGAGGCAGGTGGGGGGGTCAGCCCCCTGCCCGGCCAGCCGCCCCGTCCGGGAGGTGAGGGGCGCCTCTGCCCGGCCGCCCCTACTGGGAAGTGAGGAGCCCCTCTGCCCGGCCAGCCGCCCCGTCTGGGAGGGAGGTGGGGGGGTCAGCCCCCTGCCCGGCCAGCCGCCCCGTCCGGGAGGGAGGTGGTGGGGGTCAGCCCCCCCGCCCGGCCAGCCGCCCCATCCGGGAGGGAGGTGGGGAGCTCAGCCCCCCACCCAGCCAGCGCCCTGTCCGGGAGGGAGGTGGGGGGGTCAGCCCCCCGCCCGGCCAGCCGCCCCGTCCGGGAGGGAGGTGGGGAGCTCAGCCCCCCGCCCAGCCAGCGCCCCGTCTGGGAGGGAGGTTGGGGGGTCAGCCCCCCGCCCGGCCAGCCGCCCCGTCCCGGAGGTGAGGGGCGCCTCTGCCCGGCCGCCCCTACTGGGAAGTGAGGAGCCCCCTCTGCCCGGCCACCAGCCCGTCTGGGAGGTGTACCCAACAGCTCATTGAGAACGGGCCATGATGACAATGGCGGTTTTGTGGAATAGAAAAGGGGGCAAGGTGGGTAAAAGATTGAGAAATCGGATGGTTGCTGTGTCTGTGTAGAAAGAAGTAGACATGGGAGACTTTTCATTTTGTTCTGTACTAAGAAAAATTCTTCTGCCTTGGGATCCTGTTGATCTATGACCTTACCCCCAACCCTGTGCTCTCTGAAACATGTGCTGTGTCCACTCAGGGTTAAATGGATTAAGGGCGGTGCAAGATGTGCTTTGTTAAACAGATGCTTGAAGGCAGCATGCTCGCTAAGAGTCATCGCCACTCCCTAATCTCAAGTACCCAGGGACACAAACACTCTGCCTAGGAAAACCAGAGACCTTTGTTCACTTGTTTGTCTGCTGACCTTCCCTCCACTATTGTCCTATGACCCTGCCAAATCCCCCTCTGCGAGAAACACCCAAGAATGATCAATAAAAAAAAAATTAAATTAAATTAAATTAAAAAAAAAAAAAAAAGAATAGTGGCAACTGGGCTGGGCACGGTGGCTCAAGCCTGTAATCCCAGCACTTTGGGAGGCCCAGGTGGGTGGATCAGGAGGTCAGGAGTTTGAGACCAGCCTGACCAACATGGTGAAGCCCCGTCTCTACTAAAAAAATACAAAAATTAGCTGGGCACAGTGGTGCGTGCCTGTAGTCCCAGCTACTCGGGAGGCTGAGGCAGTAGAATCGCTTGAACCCGGGAAGTGGAGGTTGCAGTGAGCCGAGATCGTGCCACTGCACTCCAGTCTGGGCAACACAGTGAGACTCTGTCTCAAAAAAAAAAAAAAATTAGTGGTAACTGGTTTTACTTTCTTTTTAGCTTTAAAGTTTTTTTGGCGGCAATGTGAATACATTCCTATACTTCTGCCCACTTAATTTGTTCTTGGCCATTGTCTTTGATACTCATGTGTAGCCACTCAAGCCCCAGGTGACACCATCTACACACACTGGAAATATGAAATTTTTTGAGGCCCAACATGTTGTTCAAAGGAAATGCTCACTGCAGCATTTTGAATTTTAATTTTCAGATTAGGGAAGCTGAACCGATAAGCATAATACGAATATTCCAAAATCTGCCCAAACACTTCTGGTCCAAAGTATTTCAGATAAGGGATACTGAACCTGTATAAGCTGTTCATCTAAGCTATATTAGATATGTCTTCTTATCAAATTGTTCCATTAAACTATAATAAAGATAAATCAATGGCAAAAAAAAAAAAAAAAAGAAAATTTTTGTGACCTTGGGTTAGGCAAACGGGATGTTCTTAGACACACTATCAAAAGCATGAGCCATAAAAAAATTGAAAAAGTGATCTTCATCAAAATTAAAACCTTCTGCTCTTTGAATAACTCTTTTAAGAGAATGGAAATGTGAGCCATGGACTGAGAGAAAATGTTTGCAAGTTACACATCTGAATTAAAGAAAAACAAAAACTTGTATCCACAATACATAAAGAACTCTCAAGACTCAATAATAAGAAAATAAACAGCCCAGCTTTTATAATGGGCAAAAGATTTGAACAGACATTTCACCAAACAAGATGGCAAATAAACACATGACCAGTTGTTTAGCATTATTAGTCATTACAAAAATGCAAATTTAAACCACAATGAGACACTACTACATACCTATTAGAATGGTAAATTTAAAAGACTGGCTATACTGAGTTGAATAGGGTCGCCTCCAAATTCATGTCCACTGGAACCTCAGAATGTGACTTTATTTGGAAATAAGATATTTTCAGATAATTAGTTAAAGCAAGGTAATAGTGGATTAGGGTAGGCCCTAAATCTACTGACTGACTGTTGTCCTTAAGAAGGCCACATGAAGACACAGAGACACACAGAGAAGAGAATGCCATGTGAAGCCAGGGACAGAGATTGGAGTGATGTATATATAAGCCCAGGAATATCTGTGGCCACCAGAGCTGGAAGAGGCAAGAAGCTCTCTCCCTGAGAGCCTCCAGAGGGAATCAACCCTGCTGACTCTTGACTTTAAACTTCTGGCCTCCAGAGCTGTGAGAAAACACGTTTCTCTTGTTTTAAGACCCCCAGTTTGTGGCAATTAATTACAGCAACCCTTGGAATCTAATATATTGACCATTCCAAATGCTGGGGAAGAATGTGGAGGAACTGGAACTCTTGTACATTGCTGATGGGAATGTAAGATAGTACAAGCGCTTTGGAAACCAGTTTGGCAATTTTTTTAAAAAAGTTAAACACCTGCTGCAGGATCCAGCCATTCTGCTCCTAGGTATTTACCCAAGAGAAAAGAAAGCTGTGGTAGGCAAAATAATGGCCCCTGAAGATGTCCATGCCCTAATCCCTGGAACCCATAAACATGTTAAATTACATGACAAAGGAGACTTTTTAGATGTGATTAGATTAAGGATCTTGAGATGGAGAGATTGTTCTGGATTATCCAGGTGGGCCTGATGTCATCACAAGGGTCCCTATAAGTGAAAGAGGGAGGCAGAAGAGTGAGTGTGAGAGTGACATCATGTGACAAGACTTGACTTGTCATTGCTGCCTTTGAAGATGGAGGAAGGAGCCACAAGCCATAAATTCAGGTGGCCTCTAGAAGCTGGAAAAGGCAAGGGAATAGATTCCTCCTAGAGCCTCCAGAAGGAATGCAGCTGTGCTGACACTTTGATCTTATCCCAGTGAAACTCATTTTAAAATTCTGACCCCCAGAACTATAAAATAATAAATTTGTGTTGTTTGAAGCCTCTACGTTTGTGGTGATTTGTTATAGCACCCATAGCAAACAAATACAAAAACATATATCCACACAAAGACTTGTAAGCATCAATGTCCATAGCAGCTTTATTTGTAATAGACAAGTATCCACCAATATGGATAAACAAATTATGGAATATCCATACAATGGGATTCTACTCACATACTGCATTATTCCCTGTATATGGCATTCTGAAAAGGGCAGAACTTCAGGGACAGAAAATAAATGAGGAACTGCCAGGGGCTGGGTGGGTGATAGAAATGACTACAAACCTATACAAGGGAAGTTTTTTGGGTGATTGTAGTGGTAGTTACGTAATTATATGCATTTGTTGAACTTACAGAACTATACCCCTAAAAAGGGCAAATTTTTCTCTATATAAATTTTACTTCAGTAACTTTGACTTAGAAAATGGAGAGGTGAGAGACACAGCAAAGAAAAAGAAGGAAATGGCTGGGCGCAGTGGCTCACACCTGTAATCCCAGCATTTTGGGAGGCCGAGGCAAGTGGATCACCTGAGGTCAGGAGTTTGAGACCAGCCTGGCCAACATGGTGAAGCCCCATTTCTACTAAAAATACAAAAAATTAGCTGGACGTGGTGGTGCGCACCTGTAATCCCAGCTACTTGGGAGGCTGAGGCAGGAGAATCTCCTGAACCCGGGAGGCGGAAGTTGCAGCGAGCTGAGATCATGCCATTCTACTCCAGCCTGGGCGACAAGAGCAAAACTCCATCAGAAAAAAAAAAAAAAAGGAAGGGCCTCAGACCAAATATTGAATCCAGGTGGGATTGTAAGTTCCTTTAAGACACAAGAAAGATTTATGGCAGTGCCTCATAGAACCTTTCCAGTACAGAAAAGCTTCTCTAAGGATCTATAGGCCATGCCTCACAGGCACTTTCCATTATATGACAAGCCTTTTTAAGATCTTAAAGGCATTGATCTACAGTGATCTCAATGGGAACCCACGGTAGAAAGGGCTTATCTCAAAGAGATTTGTGATTTTGGCTTTTCTTTAATGGCATGAATCTCAATAAGATTCGTAGGAAACACACAGTGTTTTTAATAGAATTGTTCTGGTGGAAGCTGTGCCTGCTTGAACTAAAAGGAACTGAGAGAATAGAAAATAAAATGAGGTCTTTGGTTTTCCAAACTTCTATAGGTAGGAAGCAAGCCAAGAAAAACCCTCAGCTGCAAACATGGCTGTACTTTATGGAAAATAACAGTGACTCAGAATCATATCTAGGGAACAATCCTGAGTCCCAGTCAAGGAATTGGCAACATTTAGCAACATTTGCCCAGCTGGATTTTAGAATTGTTATGGACCAGTGATTTACCTCCTGTTTTCTACCTCTTTAAATGTGAGTGCCTGTAACAGTTGTCTTGTGCCTGACCCATGACTGCATGTTGAGTGTGTAAGAAGCAGTTAATTTGCTCTTTATTTTACAGATGTTCAGGTCAAAAAGAAAAGTACTCAAAGAGCTGTCCCCAAAGTATCATACCTGAGGAGCATAATGTGGGCCTGGACCTGATTTAGATAATAAAATCCTGGACCTTGATACTAAGCCTGATCCTGTAATGGGATGAAACTCCTGGGAGGTCTCAGAGGAGTGTATTTTACATGTGAAAGGGATATGAATTGTTGTGGCCAGAGAGTGAGCTTGGCACATTATATTTTCCAAAAAATGTCTGCAGTAATATTTCCCAGCCCACATGCCCTTCTGGAACTTTGCAACTCCTCCATGAAGAGGTGGAATCTATGTTCCATCCCCACTTGAACTTGGTTTGGCATTTATGCCTTTCTTGACTGGTGGAGTACAGTAAAAGTGATACCATGTGACTTCTGAGGCTAGGTCACAAAAATACCGTATACTTCTGCCTCGATTTACTGAGATGCTCAATCTTGAAACCCAGCCACCATGCTGTGAGGAAGCCCAAGTAGCCTTTGAAGAGACCCAGATGGAGAGGAACCAGAGTTCTCAGTCTAATGCCTGAGGTTAGGCTGAGCTCCTAACCAATGGTTAGCACCAAGACGCCACGTGAGTGAGCCATCTTGGAAGTGGATCTTCCCACCCACATTGAGCTGTGTCAGCTGAAGCCCCATGCAACAGAGACAAGCTGACCCCACTAAGTCCTGTCCAAATTGCTGATTCACAACCAAAATAAATGATTATTATTTATTTCAAGCCACTAAGTTATGGGGTACATTGTTACACAGTAATGAATAAATAGAACCTTTACCTAGAGGTCTCTAAAAATAGTATAGAAATGAACCCAGAGCCAAAGCAATAAGAAAAATATTGATAGATGAGTATTTTAAAATGTAAAGCTTCTGCATACCAAAAAGAGTCACAGACAACATTAAAAGTTAAAGATATCCGTTTCCAGGTATATACACACAAGAATTGAGAGCAGGGACTTAAAAAGATATTTGTATACCCATGTTCACAGCAACACTATTCACAATAGCCAAAAGATGGAAACAATCCAGGTGTCCATCGATGGATGAATGGATAAGCAAAAATGTGGTCTATCCACACAATGAAATATTATTCAGCCTTAAAAAGGAAGGAAGTTCTGACATAGGCTACAACATGAATGACACTTGAAGAATCATGCTAAGTGAGATAAGCCAGACACACAAAAAAGATAAATATTGTATGATTTCACTTATGTGAGATTCCTGGAGTAATTATAGAGACAG